>NC_000006.12:13393333-13544848 GCF_000001405.40 Homo sapiens | reverse complement strand
CTAGAGGAAAGTCATATACGGGTTAAACTCTGCTATTTTACCTCTTAGTGCAAATGCTTGAGTCCCATTTGCCTAACTCCTGAGATCTTACTGGGAAGCTGCTGATCACAGTTTCAGGTGTTTCTATCTATTGGGAGACTGCCCTTCCCTGGTACCGGCTGTGATCCATTATTATTCTAGAGAAACAGTATGACAACTGCCTGGCCATTGTCGGCTGGCTCCCTGACATTCCTGATAGGGGTGGGGGAGCCCTCTCCTGCCCTGCTGATGTCTACCTAACAACCTACTCTAACAGTGACACATGCCACATGGATGAACTTTGAAGACATTATGCTAAGAAGCCAGACACAGAAAGATTGTATGATTCCACTTATATGAGGAACCTAGAATAAGTATATTCATAAAGACAGAGAGTAGAATAGAGGTCACCAGGGGCTTGGGGAGGGAGGAATAGGGGTTGTTGTTCAATATGGGTACAGAATTTCTGTTTGGACAGATGAAAAATTTCTGTGGATGAGTGGCACTGAGCACAATGGTGTCAACGTCCTTAATGCCACTCAACTGTATTCTTAAATATGGTTAAGATGGTAAATTTTGTGTTATGTGTATTTTACAACAACAACAACAAAAATTTGGGAGGCTGCTAGGGGGAAAAGGTCTAATCCTATTGACTCGACTTACATATCTCTCAAAGAGCTGTGTGCTCTTTTCTGTTTTCACTGCTACTGGCCTAGTGAGTCCAGCTCCCATGGCCTGTACCTAGATTATTGCAGTGGCCTCCTCACCTGTCTTCTGTGATCATTCTTTCCCTTTCTAACTGATTCTCCACAGAGCAGCCCGAGGGGACCTTCAAAACGTAAACGGATTGTGTCAGCCCTCTGCCTAAGAAGTGCAGAATGCTGGAAGGTTCAAGCCAGGAGTGCTATGACTAGATTCACCCTATTTAAAAAACTGGCTCCTGTAGGGACATCAGATTTATAAGAAACCAAGAGAAGTGGTTCTCAGACTTCAGTGCCATCAGCTGGAGGGCTTGTTAAGACCCAGATTTCTAGGTCCCAACCCTAGAGTTTCTGACTCAGTAGGTCCGGGGTGAGGCCTGGAAATGCGCATTTCTAACAAGCTCTCAGGTGATGCAGTTGCTTCTGATCCTGGAACCACTGGGGTTTTTTATTTTAAATTTTTATTTATTTCATTTTTTATTGTATATACTTAAGGCGTATCATGTTTTGAGGTACACATACGTGGCAAAATGATTACTACAGTCAAACAAATTAACATATCCATTATCTCACATATTCTTTTTTGCGTACATGTGGTTAGAACACCTAAAATCTGTTAGCAAACTTCCAGTATACAACACACCATTATTAATTATTGTCCCCTGCGTGCAATAGATTCCAAAACTTATTCCTCCTAACCGAAACTTTTTTTGAGACAGGGTTTTGCTCTGTCACCCAGGCTGGAGCGCACTGGCACGATCTTGGCTTACTGCAAACTCTGCCTCCCGGGTTCAGGTGATTTTCATGCCTCAGCCTCCTGTGCAGCTGGGATTACAGGTACCTGCCATGGCACCGAGCTAGTTTTTGTATTTTTAGTAGAGACGGGGTTTCACCACGTTGGTCAGGATAGTCTCTAACTCCTGAACTCAAGTAACCTACCCACCTCAGCCTCCCAAAGGGCTGGGATTACAGGTATGAGTGACCGAGCCTGGCTTGAAACTTTGTGCCCCTCAGACGAACATCTCATTACCACCACCCCACCCGCCCAACTTCAGACCCTTGGCAACCACCATTTTACGCTGATATTTCTATGCACTTGACTTTAAGAAGATTCCCTATGTAAAGTGAGATCATGCAGTATTCTCTCTCTCTACTGGGCTTGTTCCAGTTAGTGTAATATCTTTCAGATTTATCCATGTTTTCGCAAATGGCAGGATTGCCTTCAAGGGCCACATAATATTGTAAGCAACGTTGGCAGGTTCTTGGTCTCACTGACCAAGAATGAAATCACAGATCCTCACAGTAAGTGTTAGTTTTTAAAGGCAGCGTTTCAGGAGCTTGCTCCTTTCGAAGGTGTTTTGAGCTTTTTCTTCCCGGCAAGATCACAGTTTCGGTGGCTCAGCTGGGACCTTCACAGTGACTGTCACAGCTCTCAAAGCACCGTCTCTAGAATTCTTTGTTCCTTGCAGTAGGTTCACAGTCTCTTTGAGCTTGAGAAACAAAGCTGTACACCTCCATAGTCAGCGTTTTAACTCATAAACGGAACGCGGACCCAAACTGAATTACAGCAGGAATTATTGCAAAAAGCAAAAGAACAAAGCCCAAACCACATGTATAAAGGACCTAAATGGGTGACCATTGCTGGCTCGGCAGCCTGCTTTTATTCTCTTATCTGGCCCCACCCACATCCTGCTGATTGGTCCATTTTACAGAGAGCCGAGTGGTCTGTTTTGACAGGGCACTGATTGGTGCGTTTATAATCCCTGAGCTAGACACAAAGGTTCTCCACCTCCCCACTAGATTAGCTAGATACAGAGTGTCGATTGGTGCATTCACAAACCCTGAGCTAGACACAGGGTGCTGATTGGTGTGTTTACAAATCTTGAGCTAGATACAGAGTGCCGATTGGTGTATTTACAATCCCCTAGCTAGACATAAAGGTTCTCCAAGTCCCCACCAGAGTAGCTAGATACAGAGTGTGGATTGGTGCATTCACAAACCCTGAGCTAGACACAGGGTGCTGATTGGTGTGTTTACAAACCTTGAGCTAGATACAGAGTGCCGATTGGTGTATTTGCAATCCCTAAGCTAGACATAAAGGTTTTCCAAGTCTGTACCCGACTTAGGAGCCCAGCTGGCTTCACCCAGTGGATCCTGCACCCTGGCCGCAGGTGGAGTTGCCTGCCAGTCCCTCGCCCTGCGCCCGCGCTCCGCAGCCCTTGAGCGGTGGATGGGACTGGGCGCCGTGGAGCAGGGGGCGGCGCTCGTTGAGGAGGCTTGGGCTGCACAGGAGCCCACGGAAAAGGAGAAGGCTCAGACAGGGCGGGCTGCAGGTCCCGGGCCCTGCCCCGCGGGGAGGCAGCTAAGGCCTGGCGAGAAATCGAGTGCAGCGCCGCTGGGCCGGCACTGCTGGGGGACCCAGCACAGCCTCCGGAGCCGCTGGCCCGGGTGCTAAGCACCTCATTGCCGGGGGTCGGCAGGGCCGGCTGGCCGCTCCGAGTGCGGGGCCCGCCAAGCCCACGCCTACCCGGAGCTCCACATGGCACGCAGGCGCCGCGCAGCAGCCACGGTTCTCGCTCGCGCCTCTTCCTCCACACCTCCCTACAAGCTGAAGGAGCCTGCTCTGGCCTTGGCCAGCCCAGAAAGGGGCTCCCACAGTGCAGCGGTGGGCTGAAGGGCTTCTCAAGCACGCCCAGAGTGGGCGCCAAGGCCGAGGAGGCGCCGAGAGCGAGCGAGGGCGCACGCTGTCACCTCTCAATATGACGTTAATGTACATACTATAATTTCTTTACTCATTTACCCAACGACAGATACTTAGGTTGATTCCATCTCTTGGCTGTTGTGAATAGTGCTGCAATGAAAATGGGAGAGCTCTTCAATGCACTGATTTCAATTCCTTTGGATATAAATCCAGGAGTGGGATTGCTGCATCATATGGTAGTTCTAATTTTGATCTTTTGAAGAACCTCCAAACCATTTTCTGTAGTGGCCAATTCGCATTCTGGGACCACACTTTGAGAACCACTGTCTTTACATGTAAGCAGGGAGAGCACAACTCTGTGGCCTGGTCTTACTGTCTTAATTCTTGACCTTCTGTCCCTCAAATAGGATATTTGCCAACGTATCCATTTTTTTTTTCATGTTCCCCAGGCTGTCATCTAGTAAGTTCTGTCTGCCGGGAACACTCTTCTTTCTCTATTCCTCCAATCTCCTGTACTCCCGTGTTCTGCCTGGTTAATTATCATTCATCCTGCAGGTATCTGTCTATTTGGGTGTATGTTTGTGCATCTATTTTTAAAAAGCAAATTTATTGAGATAGAATTCACATACCATACAATTCACCCATTTAAAGTACACAGTTCAGTGGTTTTCGTAGAGTCACAGATACGTGCAGCTATCACGATCGTCCATTTTAGATGATTGTCACTTCCCCGAAAATAAATCCGTTTGTCATAAGCTATCACCTCTCTGCCTCTCCCTTTTCCACTCCCAACCCTAAGCAACCAGTAATCTACTTTCTGTCTCTATAACTTTCCCTGTTTAGGATATTCATGCAGATTAAATCTTATAGTATGTGGTCTTTTGTGACAGGCTTCTTTCACTTGGCATAATATTTTTAAGGTTCATCCTTGTTGAAGCATGTATCGACATTTTATTCCTTTTTATAGTGGAATGATATTCCATGCCTCATTTTGGTTCTCCATTTGTCCATGTGTAACCCTGGACAATTGGGTTGTTTTCATCTTTTGGCTATTACAAATAATGCTGCTGTAAACATTCTTTTTGTGAGATGGAATTTCACCTTGTAGCCCATGCTGGAGTGCAGTGGCATGATCTCGGCTCACTGCAACCTCCGCCTCCTAGGTTCAGGCAATTCTCCTGCCTCAGCCTCCTGAGTAGCTGGAATTACAGGCGCCCGCCACCATGCCCGGCTAATTTTTGTATTTTTAGTAGAGACGGGGTTTCATCGTGTTAGCCAGGCTGGTCTTGAACCCTTGACCTCAGGTGATCCACCTGCCTCGGCCTCCCAAAGTGCTGGGACTACAGGCATGAGCCACTGCACCCGGCCCTGTAAACATTCTTGTACAAGTTTCTGTGTGGACAGATGGTTTTATTTCTCTTAGATATATATCTAGAAGTGGAATTGCTGGGTCATATAGTAACTCTTGTTTAATTGGTTGAGGAACTACCATCTGTTTTCTAAAGCAGCTGCACCATTTTACATTCCTACCAGCAGTGTGCAAATGTCTAATTTCTCTACATCTTGCTAACACTTGTTATTGTCTGCCATTTTAAAAATCATAATCATCCTAGTGTGTGTGAAGTATTATCGTGGTTTTGATTTGCATTTCCTTGGTGTCTAGTGATGCTGAGCATTTTGTCATGTGCTTTTTGGCCACTTGTATATCTTCTTTGAGGAAGAGTGTATTCAGATATTTTACCCATTTCTGATTGGATTGTCTTCATAAGAGTTCTTTAAATATCCTAGATGCAAGTCCCTTATCAGATGTATGATTTGCAAACATTTTCTCCCATTCTGTGGGTTATCTTTTCACTTTACTGGTGGTGTCCTTTGAAACATAAAAGCTTTTAATTTTGATGAAATGTAATTTATCTATTTTTTTCTTTTGTTTTTCATGATTTTGTTGTCATATCTAAGAATCTTTTGCCACATCTAAGGTCATGAAGATCTACCTCTATTTTCTTCCAAGGGTTTTATAGCTCTTGCTCTTACATTTAGGTCTTCGACCCATTTTGAGTTAATTTTTTGGAGATGGTTTGGGTAGAGGATCCAACTCCATTCTTTTGCATGTAGCTATCCTGTTATCTCCACACCATTTGTTGAAAAGACTGCCCTTTTCCCATTGAACGATCTCAGCACCCTTGTCAAAAATCAATTAACCATGGGTATATGGATTTACTTCTGGACTCTATTCTATTCCATTGATTTATGCATGTTTCCGTGTGCCAGCACCACATTGTCTTGATTACCCTTTCTGCTTAAATGTTGTTACAGTATTTCATCAAATGCATTGTGATCTTGCAGATGTTAAAGTGTAAAAAGGAAGGATCAGTGTTTCTTGTATCCCAATGCCTGAGATGTTAAGGTCTTAGGATTGATTAAACGCATGTGTCTGGGAAAACTTTCTTTATCCCGATAGACTAGATTAATCCTCTGCTCTGTGTCCCTGTTTCACCCAGGACTCATCACAGCATTTATCATACTATTGTGACTGTTCCTCTTAAAGCCAGCGGTTCTCAAAGTGTGGCCCACAGACCAGCAGTATCACCCTCACTTGGGAACTTGTTAGACATGCAAATTCTCAGACCCCCACCCCAGCCCACTGAATCAGATACTCTGGAGGAGGGGCCCAGCCATGTGTATTTTATCAAGGCCTCTGAGTGAATCTGACACACACCGAGGTTTGAGAGCCCCTTGATTCAGAAGGTCTGTGAGGGTAGAAAGCACACCTATCTGCCCACCATTGTGTCCCTAGCACTTGGCATGGTGCCTGGTATGGATTAACAATCAATAAATGTTGAATAAATAAATAAATGAACGAAGTGCCGTGACTTGCCCAAGGTCATATGGACAGTAGGTGAAAGCTGAGAGCTACATCACCTCTTTCTGTCTTGGTTGCCGGGCTTATGGTGTGAGGTTGACAGGAATATCCTAATTCATTCAACAAGCATTTGTTAAAGAATTACTGCGTTCTCAACATTTTGCAAAATTTGGCCAAATGCTCTAGCTTTGGTAATAAAATGTGAGGCATCAGTAGATAACTTTGTAGGATCATTAGAAGCACTTCAGGTTCAGAAAGAATTGGGGAAAGTTAGACTTTATTAAACAGCAGGGGGAGCTTTGTGAAGAAGAAAGCAGCCCATGTTGTAGGGCAAGCCAACCCAGCATAAGGACACTTATTTATTTAAGAATAAATTGGTTCAAAGCCGCTTTTACACTCAATTCCTATAGACACACCCTTCTTCCTATTGGATTTCATTATCTGGACATTCTCTTTACACAGGCTTAATAAAATCACTCTTAAGATAACAACAAAGCTTTAAAGAACATATTTGTGAAAAAAACAACAATATTCTAATATTCTGAAATAATAAAAAATTCAGCTAATCACAAAATAAATGCATGTCACTGGGGTTATATATGTTTTATATTAGGCATATTATGCCTAATAGTTTTAAGTTCTAATGAGGCAAAAAAGGTGAAAGGTTAACTAAACAAAGGACATTGTTCTCCTTGATTTTTGAATGGTTATATGGATTCTGAGGATGTGTTTTCATAATTATTAGAACATCGATGCTTTTCTTTTAAATCTTTGAGAGTATTTAAAGTGCATTCTAAACAATGTTTGGCACAGTAGTAGGAAACCACTCCTGTAAATTTTATTAGATTGCTTTGGGAAGGTACAGGTTATCAGAACAGAGGAAACCGAGTTATGCAGAAGACAAAACACACTGTTTATGGCCAACTTCTGCATCCCCACAAAACACACTGTTTATGGCCAACTTCTGCATCCCCACAGAGTCTCATTACTAAGCAAAAGCCTTCCTCAATCATCCAACTTTAATTTTATAACACTGTTTTAATAGAAATCCACATTGTATCCTGCTTTATTGGAAGTGGGTCTCATTTTGATGGAGCCAGTCCTTTGCACAAGGTTTCCCCTGAAACCTCCTGAGACTTTTATCAGTGTGCAAAGGAGACAACCTACAGCTGTTTTGTGTGAATTGGCTGCTGTTAAAACAAGACAGGCAATAAAAAGAGAAGGCAAATTTAAAGCTGTAAAGCAAAGACTTTGAAATCAGAGTGCAGTGCCAGCCAGTCATTCTGGAAATATTTTAATCATTCAATAAGAAAAAAAGGTTTTCTCTAGAGTGGATGATTCTACAAAATTTTTCAACTATAAGCTTTCAACTTCAATGGAGATGGAACAAATGAGTGGATTTATTAGTCATATGACTTCAAACAAGTTATTTAGCCCATCCATGCCTCAGTTTCCTGATTTTTAGAATGGGGATAGTAATCAATAGCACTTACCTTGCAAGCTGGTTGCGAGGGCCGCACATGTACAGAGCTTGGCAGAAAGCCTGGCAAACATTCACCGTCCAGTAGATGTTTGCCACTATGTGCAATTGTTTTCTTTGATGCTCATGTTCACAATCTCTTATCTGCATTTCCCAAATCCAAAAAAAGCTCTGCAAACCCCAAACTTGCTGGTACGATCTGTTCTGAATTGACAGGAGGCTGATGGGAGGCTTTTTTTTTTAAATACCATTTGGGATAAATTTTATATGTTTTGTAGTACAGATATTAATGTATTTACCCTTCTAAAATCCAAAATGTTCTAAATTCCAAGCCACTCTAGCCCCAGGGGTTTCAAATATATGATTTAGGGCCTATTTCTACAAGATGCCAATGCGACTCAGAGAAAAATGAACAAACAGTGGATTCATAGATACCTGGATTTGAATCCAGATGTGGTCATCTACCTTGTGGGCCTTGGGCAAGCAACTTAACTTCTCTAAAGGCTCAAGTGATTGATACACAATTCCTATTACTGCACAGGGTGCAAACTTCTTCATATTCTTGCACCTCCACTCACAACGGTATCTTTCCCTTCATTCGTCCTTACAACCAACCACTTTTGGGGATTGCCACATACCTGGTTTGTTCAAGGCCACTCTCCCACTGCACCCTTAGCTAACTATACCACAGGTGAACTGCGTATGAGCCAATGAGAAAGTTCTGTGGATTCCAAGAAGGGAGGGAATGATTCAGAGGAAGGAATTGGGTTGATACATTTCTGATACCAGCTAACAATCAACTGGGATAAATTCCCAAAGGGCTGCTGCCCCACAGGTAATTTGCACCAAGGTAAAAATGGTTAACAGCTCAAGGTGGTGATGGGTTTAATTCATTTGCAAATTAGAAAGGGAAAAAGTAGAGTCTCACCTCACCATGTCATTGCTGGCTGCCAAAAGATTGGAGAATGTGGGAAAGGCAAGATCCAGAGGTGGTTCATTGGCCTGGACTGATTTATTAGAGAGGTCGCTTTAGGCCAGAAAACCTCAACCCTGACTCCTCAGCCAGCACCTTAAACAATGCCCATCCAAGGCAAGCAGATCGCTTGAGCCCAGGAGATCAAAGCCAGCCTGGGCAACATGATGAAACTCCATCTCTACAAAAAATACAAAAATTAGCCGGATGTGGTGGTGCACGCCTGTGGTCCCAGCTCCTCAGGAGACTGAGGTGGGAGGATCGCCTGAATCCAGGGAAGTCAAGGCTGCAGTGAGCTGTGATTGGGCCACCGCACTCCAGCTGGGGTGACAGAGTGAGACTCTGTCTTAAAAAAAAAAAAAAAAAAAGAAAAAAGAAAAAAAAGAAAAGCCAGGTCCCTGTTCAGATCAACTGGATCAGAATCTCTGGTGTGGTGTGTGCAGGGGCGGCGGGGGCAGGGGGTGGGCTGGGGGTGTGCAGGCAGATGTCAGTAGTGTAAAAAAATCTCCAGGTGATTCTATATTCAGCTTGGTTGCCACCTGCTCACTGAAGACACCTGGGAGTTTTAGGAAATAAGTACTGATGCCCAGGTCCTCCCCCAGAGATGCTGAGCCAACTGGCTTGCATATAAATGGCCTGGAATGTGATGGATCATCAGGATTTTTTTTTTTTAAAGTCCAGAGTGATTCACAGTGATCCAGGTTATCTCCCAATGTGCAGTATTCATTTCTCCTCACAACTAGGTTTCCTGGAATTTTTATCAAGAATTCCAGCTGCCGTAACAATAATGTTCAGATAATACAATTTGAAAGTTTATTTGGTTCTTTACTGAAAATTCACCTTTTCAGGAAAAGATTTAATTTTTGAAGTGCCTTAAATAGGCTGGGCAGAGTCTAGTGAAAATTGAAAACACAACTGACAGCCATTGAATTGATTACCTGCCTGGGTATTTTTCTCATTACCAAGAATTACTATTATCAGATGAAGGAATGGAGAATACAGAACATGATTCATGATTGTTTTAAGTAAGTCTGCAAGGTTAGTGTGTATCACATACATGATGTACCTTTACATATTACTATATGTTTCATGTTTGAGAATGTCTTATTTTTCACTGGCAGCTAAATAGTTGATTGACATCCCTGCCTTTATGGCACTTCACCAGGTACCTGAGACTCCAGAAGTGAGGTGACAAACCCTGCCTCTCAGAGCTGAGCAGTGACTGAGCAGTGGAGACTGAGCTCACTTACTCTGCACTTTCTCATCATTCCATGACTTTGCTTTGCATCTACTGTTGGCAGCTGGAAGGGCCAAGGGTCCTTGCATTGCCCTGACCTTCAAGGGCTCCGGATTTCCTGTGAGAGATGTCCAAGCTCCTTATCTGGGCATGCACAGCCTTGTTGGATCATCAGCCTCTTCTCCTGCCCAGCCCCAACCATGCCAGCCACGTCGGGCTGCTCCCTGCTCCTCCAAGGCCTCTCCTGGCCCCTGCACCTTTGCCACTCTCCACCTGTGGTGCATATAAATACCTCTTTGGGGAAAATAAGAATTAAAGCCCTAGTCCCTCTATGATCCAACAGAAGTGTACTCGGTTTGCTTGAGAGAGCCCTGGTTTGTATCAATATATGTCGGCACTTTAGCTTTCCTAGCGCAGGAGTGTTTTATATTTATTTTGATAAAAACATAATTCAGAATATTAGGTGAGCCTTTTAGGGAGCTTCGATTTATTCAATGCATTGGTGAACTCCAGAGTTGACATAAATGTGCTCTTTTGGGTGAGAACTCATCCTGCCTCTCGTTTGCAGGACCTAATGAGATAGAATTATAACGTAATTTTTTTTTAAGACAGAGTCTTGCTCTTGTCGCCCAGGCTGGAGTGCAATGGCATGATTTCGGCTCACTGTAACCTCTGCCTCCTAGGTTCAAGCAATTCTCCTGCCTCAGCCTCCCAAGTAGCTGGGATTACAGGCACCTGCAACCATTCCCGGCTGTTTTTGTATTTTTAGTAGAGACTGGGTTGGCCAGGCTGGTCTCAACTCCTGACCTCAAGTGATCCGCCCACCTCGGCCTCCCAAAATGCTGGGATTACAGGCGTGAGCCACTGTTCCTGGCCAATTTTTTTTTACATATAAGAATCCTTTCCATCCGGTCAAAACTCTAACACTCACTGAATGGTCATTGCGGAGTTTAAGAGGGAAATCCACTTAGAGCATGAAGGACCGGCCTGATACCCTGGGCCTTCTGATTTCTGGTTTTGAGACATGTTCTTTGCAGAGAGTACTCACTCCTTCTTCCTCTGTCTTCTCCTTGACTTTATTTCTTTCTGTGGGCTTTATGTCAACTAGGTCAGGCTCCAAAATCCCCAGATAATTGCTTTATTTTAAAAATAAAACGTAATTGGTGGTACACATGAACATAAAGATGGAGAAAATAGACTCTGGGGACTCCAACGGGATGGGAGGCTGGGTTGAAAAATTACCTACTGGGTAAAATGTCCAATATGTGGGTGATGAAGACACTAGAAACCCAACTCCCACCATTATGCATGTAATACCCATGTAATGAACAAGCACATGTACCTCCTGAATCTGAAATAAAAAAATAAAACACAACTGGTATTTGACAGGCAGTGTGGTCAGAATACAACTGGTATTTGACAGGCAGCTTGACAGGCAGTGACAGGCAATGGTAAGCATACAGAGCTGAACTCAGCCAGTTTGGGTTCACAGCCTGGTTCTGCCACTGACTACTTCTATGATTGTGGCAGTGAACTTAATTTCTTTTTGCTTCAATGTGTGTGCATGCGTGAGTGTATGCGTGCATGTGTGTGTATGTAATGTAGGCTTCAAGCTCTAAGCTCTAATGAATTGAAAGTTCCCAAGGTGGGGAGTGGCTAACGGCTTGTCTTTCTAGGTTCTGAAATCGTGCCTGGTCTATCACTCACCTGTCCCAAGAGACACACCACCACCAGGTACTCACTCTTTATTCTGAAACCTAGCTCCTGCCCTTAAACTTGCTTTCTTTCTCACCTGGTAATTGAGTTGAAAAACTCAGCCTGAGCAGCCTGAGATGTCAACTTACTGGTTCCTTACTGGGGGCCCCACCTGGATCCCTTTTGGTTCCTGAAAGTACAAGTCATTCTATACCCTGAAATGTACCTCCACCCTAGAACAGTTTTCAAAAGACAATTGCCAAAAAATCCTTCCCTAATGTCTATTAGCTGTTATCATGTCTCCCCTTTCAAATGTCTTACCCTCAGCTCAATCATTCATTCATTCAACCAACCAACCAACTAACCAACCAACCAATCAACCAACCAACCCACCCACCAACCCACCAACTAACCAGTATTTCCTGAGTTCTAGGCACTCTGTGGGAAGCCCATTCCCATTTGAAGTTAGGTATAAGTGATATATAATATAAGTTATAAGTTAGGAAGCTCTGGTGACCTGGGAGCCTGGAGGAGAGACAGACAGTCCAGCTGAAGGGTAAAGGGATAACCATGGCAGGCTTCCTAAAAGAGATCACTTTGAGCTGAGTCCTAAGGGCAAGTGGGAATCAGCCCTGGGAGGAGCTGGGATATGCAAGAAAGGCTTTCCAGGTGGAAGACAAAACAACCAGGTTGGGAGAGGGTGCAGCAAGCCAACTCCCATGGCTCCTTCTGGGAGCTGCAGAGCCTGCAGAGGCTGAGTTCAAAGCTTGGTTCCACTCCTTTCTTGCCATATGAGCTGAGGAGTGGAAGACAGAATAACGGCTCTCCAAAGATGCTGCCGTCCTAATCTCTGTATCTTGTGACTATGTTACAAGATGTTTTGCAGATGTGATTAAGTTAAGGATCTTGAGAAGGGAAGATTATCCTGGATTATCTGAGCGAGGCTAATGTAATCACAATGGCCCTTAAAAAAAGGAGGCAGGAGGTCAGAAAGGAGAGCAGGAAATGGATGATGGAATCATAGGTGGAGTGATTGTAGCCTTGTGGCGAGAATGCAGGCAGCCCTAGAAGGTGGGAGTGGTAAGAAAATGGATTTGCCTCTAGAGCCTCCAGAAGGAATGCAGCCCTGCAGGCACCTTCATTTTAGCTCGGGGAAACTTGACTGTGGACTTCTGACTCCAGAACAGTAAGATAACAAATTTGTTATTTTAAAGCACTAGGTTTGGGCCGGGTGCAGTGGCTCACATCTGTAATCCCAGCATTTTGGGAGGCCGAGGTGACAGAACACTTGAGGCCAGGAGTTCGAGACCAGCTTGGCCAACACGGCAAAACCCCGTCTCTATTAAAAATACAAAAATTAGCTGGGTGTGGTGGTGCACACTTGTAATCCCAGCTACTCCAGAGGCTGAGGCAGGAGAATAGCTTGAACCTGGGAGGCAGAGGTTGCAGCAAGCCAGGATCGTGCCACTGCACTCCAGCCTGGGCTACAGAGTGAGACTCTGTCTCAAAAACAAACAAACAAACAAACAAACAAACAAATAATAATAATACATAAATAAATCACTAGGTTTGTGGTAATGTGTCACAGCAGCAATAGGAAACTCACACACGGACAAGATGAACATCCCAGTGCACGACTGCCTCTCGTATAATGGGGCTAGAATAGGATTTCCATGGGAGTGCTGTTCTGAGAGGTAAGTTAAATAACACAGTAGACAGTGCTTAGAATCGTGCCCTGCATGTGGGAAGTACTAAATTATCATCTCTTGCTAGAAAGTTTGCCTTTTTATTCCACATGAAGTAACGCTACAGGAGCATTTTAAGCAAGAAAATAACGTGAGGAGATTTGCATTTTAGGCAGATCCAGTGGGAGGGTGTGGAAAATGGGTGCAGGGGGTGAGAGAGAGCAGGAGAGAGCAGGCTAGTAGCTGGAAGACCAGCCAGGGGGCTCCTGCCATAGCCCCGGGCAGTGGCAATGGGGACAAGATCTAGGGCAGCCTTTCCCGAGCCCTCTGTCTCACTACCCTACTGGGTTTTTAAATGCCCTCTTAGTGTTGTCAATACGGTTGGCTGCCAACCCAGAATTTGTTTCCCTCTTCTTCCTCCTTAAAGGAACCCTAATTCTAGTCAGATTTCATCTTCCTACATACCTCCTTGGGGCAGAGACTCCATCCTGTTTGATCAAAAGTTAATTTGATTCCCTCTGCCAGTTTTTGGTTCTGGGATGCGCAAGTGACCCAATTCTAGTTAAGGAGACATGAAAGAAGTCTGTGAGATCTTTTCGCGAACAGTCCCTCTCTCCTTGGGGAGTCGCAGGAAGGAAAGGCCTCTTCTCCCTCTGGCCCTGGTTATACCTGAATGGATGCCTGGAGCTGCTGCAGCCACCTTGCTTCTAATCTTAGGATACAGCAAAACAAGAGAGGTGGAATGAACTCCAGTCCTTGTTGACATTTTTGAACCACTAAGCATAACCCCTTGTAAGTCGTTTCCATAGCTAGAATTAAGCCAGTTTCTTTTACCTAACAGATAAGAGCAGGCTTACATACAATCTGAGGCAGTTTTATTTATTTATGTGCTTATTATTGTCTCCTCTGATAAGATTGGAAACTCTTTGACTGTGAGGCCTTCATGCCTGCAATCCCCCAGTATCTTTTTTTTTTTTTTTGAGACGAAGTCTCACTCTTGTCCCCTAGGCTGGAGAGCAATGGTGAGATCTCAGCTCACTGCAACCTCCGCCTCCCAGGTTCAAGTGATTCTCCTGCCTCAGCTTCCTGAGTAGCTAGGATTACAGGTGCGTACCACCACGCTCAGCTAATTTTTGTATTTTTAATAGAGACAGGGTTTCACCATAGTGGCCAGGCTGGTCTTGAACTCCCGACCTCAGGTGATCCGCCCGCCTCAGCCTCCCAAAGTGCTGGGATTATAGGTGTGAGCCTCCGCGCCCGGCTGCAATCCCCCAGTATCTTGACTGTGCTTGGCATATTGTTGCTGCACAGTAAATTTTTTTTTTTTGAGATGCAGTCTCACTCTGTCGCCCAGGCTGGAGTACAGTGGCATGTTCTTGGCTCACTGCAACCTCCGCCTCGCGGGTTCAAGCGATTCTCCTGCCTCAGCCTCCCGAGTAGCTGGGACTACAGGCGTGTGCCACCACACTCAGTTAATTTTTGTATTTTTAGTAGAGACGGGATTTCACCATGTTGGTCAGGCTGGTCTTGTACTCCTGACCTCAGGTGATCTGCCCACCTCAGCCTCCCAAAGTGCTGGGATTATAGGCGTGAGCCAACACACCCGGCCATAAATATTTTTTATTTGACTTTTAAGACAAATCTGATGACTTGGATGCGGAATGGTGAGGAAAGGGAAGAATCCAAGATGACTTTGTGGTTTGGGGCCTGAGTGAGCAACCAAGTTGAAGAGTGTGCCACTAGCAGAGTGAAACTAGAGGCGGAACGGGCCAGACCTATGACCCCACTGGGCATTTTTACGGTGATCCTTTTGACTTCTCTCTCTACTGAGTCCCTGGTTGTTACCATGGATGCTTTGTGAAAACAGTGAGTAAGGAAAAACATGTGGGACCCCAAAGACAAGGCTAAGAAACAAGGATTTGGCCATTTACAATTCCTCATCCCACCTTTTCCCATACTACAGTGTTTTGGGGACACGCTAGTCTTTAAATATGGGCCTCTCATCCTGATTTGGCATTTTGTGAAATCGTTCTTCACTTGAGAGCAGTTCTTGTCAAACAGTATCAGGATTTTGATGTTAAAGGTGCCTTGGGAGATGAAGCTGACTGACAGGTGATACAGGAAGCAGGAAAGCCCTCCCTCCTCAATCCCATTCAAGTTAAATAAAACCCATTTTTATGGCTAACTATATATATAAATTCCTCTTCCAGTCAGCCCCGCTCCCTCGCCTGCCCAAACATTACAAAGCAGTTGTCACCTGGGCTTTGAGATTCTGGGTCTCCTAAATGGCCCAGCAGGCTGGGAGGGCCGCCCCAGGTTGCTGCGGGCCTCACGGTTTGGCCATAAGCAGGCCCTGCATTGCCTGTATTGTTTTGGGGCCCTGGAGGTTGCTTTTTGTTTTCAAGCTTGCTTACCTCTACTCTCTCTGTTTTCCTGATTATCAGGAGAAAGCCCTTCCTCTCCCCCTTCCATGGTGACAGCCTGAGCTGTGCGTGCGTTTCCCGCCCTCTCCTTTCCTCCTTTCCCACTCTAAATGCTTGGCAGGCAGACACAACTCCCTATCAGAGGTGTTGGTGCAGAAGTTGTCACCTCTGCCTACATTGACAACTACACACTGTCTGCTCCAGGACTGTGTAAGCACAGCCAGGCTGGAAATTGATTTGCTCTTTGTTGCTGCCTTCCTCTTGAATTACATTTTTTTAAAAAAAAGAAAAGTGAGAGAAGCTAAAAGTAAAAAGACAGATGCAGAAGAGAAATACAGCTCTCAGATCTTGCTTCAACTCATCTTTCTTTTGGGGGAGGGGATTTCTTTCCCTTGGCTTTATTGAAATATAATTGACAAATAAAAAATAGAAATTAAAGGCATACAACACGGTAATTTGATATAAATATATATTCTGAAATGACTACTAGCATCAAGTTAATCAACACAAATGTCACCTTATATAGTTACTGTTTCGTTTCTTGTGTGATGAAAACACTCCATTTGCTCTCTTAGCAAATTTCAAGTATATAATACACGATTATTAAATATAACCACCAGGCTGTGCATTAGAGCCTCAGAACTGATTCCTCTTACAACTCAGGTTTGTATCCTTTGACCATGTCCCCATTTCCCCTGACTTCCCAGCCCCCCAAACCCCATTCTACTATGAGTTTGACATTTTTAGATTCCACAAATAAGTGAGGTCATGCAATATTTGTCTTTCTGTGTCTGGCTTATTTCATTTAGCATAATGTTCTCATCTATGTTATAAATAACAGGATTTCCTCCTTTTTATCAATGAAGAATACATATATACGTGTATATATGTACATATACACGTATATACACATATATATGTACATATATATGTACGTATATATATGTATATACGTATATATGTACATATATACATATATATATATATAATGTGTGTGTGTCCCATTTTGTTTAACCATCCCTCTGCTAATAGGCACTTAGATTGTTTCTACATCTTGGCTACTGCGTGACTAATGCTGCAACGAACACAAAGGTACAGATATCTCTTCCACACGCTGATTTCACTTTTTGTGGATATATACCCAGAAGTAGGAATGCTGGATCATATGGCAGTCCTATGATTATTTTTTGAGGAACCAACCCATTCTTTATCAAAGTGGAGGAACCAAGAAGGAAGTCCTGTTTAATATATGAGGCCAGGCAGTAAGGCCCTGCAGTCACTGATTGAATGCCACAAGAAAGGGAAGACGGCACAGCCTCTGGGAAAAGATATTGGTGCTCCTTTTAATGTTTGGTGTGCTTAACACAGTTGCTTTTTTTTTTTTGAGATGGAGTTTTGCTCTTGTTGCCCAGGCTGGAGTGCAATGGCGTGATCTTGGCTCACCGCAACCTCTGCTTCCCGGGTTCAAGTGATTCAGCCTTCTGAGTAGCTGGAATTACAGGCATGTGCCACCACGCCCAGCTAATTTTGTATTTTTAGTAGAGATGGGGTTTCTACATGTTGGTCAGGCTGGTTTCATACTCCTCACCTCAGGTGATCCGCCCACCTCGGCCTCCCAAAGTGCTGGGATTAGAGGTGTGAGCCACCACACCCGGCCCACAGTTGCATTTTTAGAGAAAACATGAGCCAGAGCACATTGGTGCTGAAGCAACTAGTGCTCAAATGCTGTGTGGCTTTGGCTAAAGCCCTTGTGTGGGCAGGGTCAGGATGAGAGGGGTCATCCCCATTCATTCTCCACCTCTCTCTACCCTGACTGTGTGGCCCAGGAGATGCATCTCTAGGGACAGCTTCACCAAAGCTCTTTGCCTGACAGCTTCTGGGCATTCCTGGCTAATGGGGGCACCTGGCGGGGATGGAAGGGAGGAAGGCCGCCCTGGCAGTGGCTTTGTCCCACAGCTCCTGGGAAGCAGTCCCTCTCCCAGCTCTGGCGGTCACTGGGCTGCGGTACCATATTCTGTCCCTTTGCCCCTGCAGTGCTAGGGGGGTAACCACTCCCAGCGTTTGTTTTCTCTGGTGCCACACCGCCCCTGGTGCCACACCGCCCCTGGTAGAGTCAGTCCTTTCATCCTGCCTGCACTTCCGTAAATAGTCCCCTCATTACATTTTTTTTTTTTTTTTCAGTTAAGCAATTTGGAGTGTGCCATCTGTTTCCTGCCCGGCTCTGGCTGATACTGTGACTAACCTTTTCACTGAGGCTTAAAATAAGTTGGTGATGCCTGTTTACACGGATTTAGTAGCCAACACCTGCAGCTTGCTGTTTTAGGTCTGAGCTTGCAAATGAGCCCCTCTTGCCAGGGTCTTAACTGTTGACTCTGTACTTTCCAAATTTTCTATAGGGGTGCTTATTATTTTGTTTCCTAGCCTGAGTTTGCGGTTTGCAGTGAAGTAGGACTAGCAAAAATTTAGGAAGCTATAGGATAGAGTGGTATGGCTGCATGACCTCAGCAATTGCTTAACCTCCTTGTGCCTCAGTTTTCCTCATCCCTAAGATGGGCATCATAATAGCACAACCTTATCTTATAGGGTTTTCCTGAGGGTTAACTAAATTTAAGTGTGTAAAGTACATAGCATAGGGCATGGCACATAGTAAATGCTCAAAACAGGTAGTTCTTATTATTATTTTATTGGAGGAAGGGTTTTACTCAGAATTATATGATAAGGTTAGAATCCCAGCTCTGCCATTGAGTAGATGGGTGACCTTGGAACTATTACTTAAACTCTTAAACTCTTCGAGTCTAAACATCTACATGGGATTAGTAATGCTTGTCTCACTTAGTGGTTGTCAGACCAAAATGTGATCATGTGTAGGAAAGGTCTTTGTAAATATTTGTTTTGTTTTGAGACAGGGTCTCACTCCAACGCCCAGGCTGGAGTGCAGTAGCACGATCTCAGCTTACTGGGTTCAAGTGATTCTCTTGCCTCAGCCTCCCGAGTAGCTAGGATTACAGGCATCCGCCACCACGCCTGGCTAATTTTTGTACTTTTAGTAGAGACGGGGTTTCACCATGTTGGACAGGCTGGTGTTGAACCCCTGTCCTCAAGTGATCTGCCTGCCTCAGCCTCCCAAAGTGCTGGAATTATAGGTGTGAGCCACCATGCCTAGCTGGTCTTTGTAAATTCTAAACCACAAATATGAAGTACAAACTGAAGATCATCTGATCTACACATTGTAGAAGATTCCTTTTTGTCCTGCATGGGTCTTTGCTCTGGTTCATAAGTTAGGAGGGTTTCCTAAAGGAAAAATGGGTGTTTGTTTCTCGTCTAATCATTATGGGGAATGTAGTTTTATCCGGGGAAGAGAAGAGAAAAGGCAGTGTGGTGATTTTGGAGGGAATTTGTCATGGTGATGCAGGAGGAGTGAGCATGTGTCAGGGAGGTATAATTTATTTTTCAGCTTTCTGGAAGCATGATGCTCTTCAGAAGCCTGAGGCCAGCACTCCCTGGCTAGGAGGCAGGCATGTCTAGAAACCTGGGTGACAAGGAAGGATAAGGCAGGGGAAGACCTGTGTTAAAACTTGCGCCATGTTGGCCAGGCTGGTTTTGAACTCCTGACCTCAAATGATCCACCCACCTCAGCCTCCCAAAGTGTTGGGGTTAGAGACGTGAGCCACCACATTAGCCGGGCATGGTGGTGGGCACCTGTAATCCCAGCTACTCAGGAGGCTGAGGCAGGAGAATCGCTCGTGCCCAGGAGGTGGAGGTTGCAGTGAGCAGAGATTGCGCCACTGCACTCCAGCCTGGGCAACAGAGCAAGACTCCGTCTCAAAAAAAAAGAAAAGAAAAACTTTAGACAAGGTGAATTTAATAGAGTTTAATTAAGCAAAGAGTGATTTGCAAATCGGGCAGCCTCCGAAATCAGAAAAGGTTTAGAGAAACTGGCAATTCCGCATGGTTGGAGAGGATTTAGGGACAGAAAAATGAAAGGGACAGTGACTACTGAAACAGCCAGATTGGTTACCGCCTGGCTTCTGCCTTATTTGCACATGGTGTGAACAGCTGGCTGCTTGTTGTGATTGGCTGAGACTCCACTACTTGTTCCTAGAGTAATTTACAATCTGTTTATACCTCTAGTTGGGTTACAGTTCACTGTGTATGGAGACACCTTTAAGCTGAATGTAAACTATGTAAGGAGGCAACTTCAGGCTAAACTGGAATATTCAGCCATGAGAAAAGAGACAGTGCAACTGGGCTGGAATGGACGGAGAGTTGAGGGGCTACAGAGACCACCACTGCTTATCTGAAGGGCCCAGCCTGGGAGTGCGACACTAGACTGCATGGGCACCTAAGGCTGTCCCAGGATGTTTGTGTTTACATTTCCTCTTAAGTGGGCCTCCCTCTACAGGAGCCAGTATATGGGATGCTGCTTAAATAGATCGTGCTCCCCACTCCCAAAAGTGGTCCTTGTCCACATCTCCGGCTGTTTTTGGTACAGAGGTGCAGAAAAAAGTTTGCTGTTACAGTTTCCGGTTCTGGGCTCCAACCACCCACATATAATTTGCTCTGTTCTTCTTGCCCTAGGTGATTTCTGGAAAATCCTGCTGGCTCAGCTCCTCTGTGATCTTGCTGACTTTCCACAGCATGGCCTGAGGCCCATAGCACGCTCAGAGCCCGCAGTCCTCCCTGAGCCTGGCCAGCTAGCGGCAGGGCCTTGTGGCCTGATGCAAATGCTACCACTACCCAAAGGCCATTTATGAGACTCTCCAAGCAGCTGCCTCTAAAGGCCATCCTACCAGCATTTAAATGACCCTCATACAAGTTTTCTTCATCTCGGGGCTCTCCTACCAGCTCCTGCTGCCTTTTTTTTTTTTTTTCTGGCAAACATATTCTTCTGTGACTTTCTCTTGATTGACATGGGGTGATGGGATGTTTCTATGCTCCTATTTGGGTATTTTTAGAAGCTGACTGACTGACCTGCTCCTCCTTCCTAGAATGGTTTAGTTTTTTGTGTCACTTGGTAGAGACACTGCAGGGCACTGTGTGGCATCTGCCTGGTCTGTTTGTCAAACACCGGCTCAGGGTCGCAGCTGTCAAGTCTGGAGGGCCCAGAGCACAGGCAGCCTTTTCCTGCAGCCCAGATGAGTTGACATGGGACCTGGGCTCTCGCCGGGCTCAGCCCACACCTCTCAGAACAGAAGGCAGTTGGAGGAGTGGAATAGCGGACTGAAATGTTAAATCAGGGAGCCCAGAGGTTCTCTACCAAAAAATTCACGCACCCTGATTCCCACTTCCACTTAGAAACAATTCTGCTTAGTCCCGTCTTTCAAGCCCACTGAGCACCACCTATGAATTATCAGGGGCACCAGGCAGATGAGCGACTCTTTCTGTCCACTTCAACATGCTCTCTGACCCAGCCCTGGCTGGAGTGAAATTTTTAAATGATTTTTTCATTTGCATATTTCCATATGGACTATGAGATTCCTGAAAATGCCTATGCTTAAAATAATGAAAATAAATAATTAAAAATAATTAAAATGCTTCAACCTTCAAGAGTGCATTTATTATTAGATAAAAAGGCTTCCATTATTCTCAAGGAAAAAAAAATCAAAGATCCAAAATAACAACTTTGGTTCTGGTCGTTTTATATACAGATAGATAGATAGATGATAGATAGATATAGATAGATAGATTTTTTTTGTTTGTTTCGTTTTGTTTTTTTAGATGGAGATTCACTCTTGTTGCCCAGGCTGGAGTGCAATGGCACAATCTCGGCTCACTGCAACCTCTGCCTCCCAGGTTCAAGTGATTCTCCTGCCTCAGCCTCCCAAGTAGCTGGGATTACAGGCATGTGCCACCATGCCTGGCTAATTTTTTTGTATTTTTAGTAGAGACGGGATTTCACCATGTTGGTCAGGCTAGTCTCGAACTCCTGACCTCCTACCTCAGGTGATCCACCCTCCTCGGCCTCCTAAAGTGTTGGGATTACAGGCATGAGCCACCGTGCCTGGCCCAATATATTTTTCTCTTTTGTTACAGGATGCATATGACAATGTGGTACACTATCAAGGTCTTTGGAAGGCAAATCTCAAAACAGGGTTTCAGTTGCAGAAAACTGAATGGCACACTCTGCCGTAGGAAGGGAATTTTTTTTTTTTTTTACAGTGTTCTTCCCACTATGTGATTTGATGATCATTGCAATGAACCGTATGTCCTTGAGTCATATCCTAATGCGAAATTGCTTGCTGACTAGGAAAAAGGAAGCTACGAATCAGAGCTGTACAAAAGTATTTTAAAATTTTTATCATGAAAACATTAATCTTCCAAGGATACTTGGAAGAGGATGTATGAATTCTTCCTGTCATTGTTGGGTTGGAACATGATGGTCTCATGAATATTTATTTTAAGTGGTTTATGATAGAAAATTTCAGATGATAATGTAATGAAACTCCACCAATCTGTTGACCAATTTTAACAATTATCAACATTCTGCCAATCACGTTTCATCTATCCTCCTTGTTTCGGGGTGTGTGTGTGTGTGTGTGTGTGTGTGTGTGTGTTTTCCAGTATTTTAAAGCAAATCCCAGCATATATAAATGCTTTTAAATGCTTTGATACGTATCTCTAACAGACAGGGCCTCAAAAAAAAAAAAAAAGACCCATGCACAATTATACCTAACAAAATTAACAGTAACTTATAATATCATCCAACACAGATCACGGTCAATTTGTTACATTTGTTCAAAAAGTCTTTTTATCAATTGGTGTGCTTTAATTGGGGTTTAACAAGAGCTATACATTGTGTATGGTCGAAATACTTCTTGAGTATTTCTCCCTTCCACTCCTTCTTGCATTAAAAAGATTTTTTACTATAATGAAAAATTTCAAACATATACAAATGTAGAGAGAATAGTGAAGTAGAGCCCCAAGTGCCCATAACCCAGTTTCAATTGTTTTTTTTTCTATTAATCATGCCACATTATTTTTAATTACGTACAAAGATCTGACATGTCACGCAGGGACCATTTCACCCAGTGCTCTGTTTGGCCACCAGTCTCTTGTCTCTCTCTTCAGCAATGGTGAGGCGGATACCCTTTCCTCAGGGAAGAGAAATCCATGGTTTGTTGCCCTTGCCAATAACAAAAATGTTGGAAAGTTGAGTGGCAAAGCTGTGGCCATTGGCATCTTTCATGTGAAACACGTCAAAAGATCCAGGGTGCCTCTCTCTGTTGGTGATCACACCAATTCTTCACAGGTTAGCACCTTCAGTCACCATACACAGGTTACCAGTGTAACTTGATGAAATCAAGTAATCTTGCCAGTCTCCAAATCAATACGAATGGTATCATTCACCTTGATGAGGGGATCAGGGTAGCAGATGGTGTGAGCATCATGAGTCACCACATGAGGGATTCCTTTTGTGCCCACAAAGATTTTTCTCACTTTGCACAACTTGTACTTGGCTTCCTCAGGTGTAATACAATGTACAGCAAAGTGACCCTTGGTGTCATAGATCAGACAAAAATTCTCTCCCATCTTGTCAATGCTGATGACATCCATGAATCCAGCAGGGTAGGTTTTGTCAGTTCGGACCTTGCCATCGATCTTAATGAACTGCTGCATGCAACTCTTCTTCATCTCCTGTCAGGACATACTTAAGTCTGTTCCTTAGGAAAGTGATGAGGGGGAGACACTCTCTCAACTTGTGGGGACTGGTGGATGGACGAAGAGCAAACACACTGGTCAATTTATCCAGCATCCAATGCTTTGGAGCTGCTACCTGCTTTAGATGCTTCTTGGGACCATAAGCCATGGCTGTGTTAGGCAAGGAAAGGTGGCCTTAGTCTTCTGGTGCACATAGAAATTCATTGTTTTTTTTTGTTTTGTTTTGTTTTGTTTTTTTGAGACAGGTTCTCATTCTGTTGCCCAGGCTAGAGTGCAGTGGTGCAATCACAGCTCACTGCAGCCTTGACTTCCCAGGGCTCAAGCAATCCTCCCAGCTCAGCCTCCCAAGTAGCTGGGACTACAGGTGTGAGCCACCATGCCCAGCTAATTTTTTATATATATATTTTTTAGAGATTGGATATCACTTTGTTGACCAGGCTGGTCTCGAACTCCTGGGCTCAAGTGATCCTCCCACCTCGGCCTCCCAAAGTGATAGGATTAGAGATGTAAGCCACAGTGCCTGGCCTTCAATAGTTATTGATAGATGGATGATCTAGTTTCATCTATATCTCCTTTCCAACCTCTACTCCTACCGCTAATATGTCATTTTAAAACAAATCCCAGGCTTTATATAATTTCAAAGGTAAATACTTCTGTATGTATCTCTAAGAGATAAGGAATTTTAAGAAAGCAACCACATCTTTGTTAGATCTACAAAAAATTAATGATTCCTTACTATCATCTAGTATCCAATAGGTGATGTTACCATTTCCCTGATGAGGCTAGGTGTAGTGGCTCACACCTGTAATACCAGCACTTTGGGAGGCTAAGGCAGGAGAATCACTTGAGCCCAAGAGTTTTAGACTAGCCTTGGCAACACAGGGAGAACGCCTTTCTACAAAGAAAAAAAAAAAAGAAATTAGCCAGGACTGATGGTGTGTACCTATAATTCCAGCAACTTGGGAGGGTGAGGTAGGAGGATCACTTGAGCCCAGGAGTTTGAGACTGCTGTGAGCCATGATTACACCACTACCCTCCAGCCTGGGTGACAGATGAGAGCCTATCTCAAACAACAACAACAACAAAGACAATTTCCCTGATTGTCCCATAAATGTCTTTTTACAGTTGGTTTCTTACAAGTGGGATTCAAACAAGGTCCATACATGGCATATGGCTGATACATGCTATGGACTGAATTGTGTCCCCGCTAAATTCATATGTTGAAGTCCTAACCTCTAACATGACTATATTTGGAGATAGGGCTTTTAGAAGGCAATTAAGGTCAAAATGAGGTCATAAGGGTCTTAATCCCATAGGATTGGTGGCCTTATAAGAGGAAGAGAGAGAGATCTTGCTCTGTCCACGAGCATGCGCTGAGGAAAGGCCATGTGAGCACACATGAGAAGGCAGCCGTCTATAAGCCAGAAGGAGAGCCCTCACCTGAACCCAACCCTGCTGTCACATTGAGCTCAGACTTCTAGTCTCCAGAACTGTGAGAAATAAATTGTTGTTGTTTAAGCCACCCAGTCTGTTGTATTTTATTATGGCAGCCAAACCAATACAATATGCTTCTTAAGTCTTTTACATTCCCCCACTATCACGCCCTTTTTATGCCATTCATTCATCAGAGAAACTGGGTCACTTGTCCTACAGAAATTCCCACATTCCAGATTTCACTGGTTGTATTCTCCTGGTGTCATTTAACTTGTTTCTCTATCCCTGTATTTCTTATGAACAGATAGATAGACCTTGGTTTGATTTAGGTTCATTTTGGTAAGACTTAAAGGTGGTTTGGTATTCATTCTGATTGTAACATATCAGGAAAAATATGATGTCTGATTTTTCTACCTTTACAGGTTTAAGCTGATGGGTTAGTGCTAGGTGTTCTCAGCCTGATCCATCCATAATAAAGATCCTCATCAACCTATTATCTAATGGTTTTTGCAGCCATTGCAGTTCATTGCCAGAATCCATTAATTCAATAAGGACTTGAAAATGATAATTTTCTAGTTCTGTCATTTCTTTTTCTTAGCTGTGATCCTTCTATAAAGAAGAAATTTCTCATATCAACTACTCAGTTATACTGAAATACAGTTTATACAGAAAAAGGCAGGATAAAATCCTTTCCTTTTATTTATCAGCCTGTCAGCAGTTGGTGCCCTTACAATCTCCATAGGTGACCATGGATTTGTTTTTAAATTATCATTATGTGAACTATTGGATTTTTAGATACTTGATGGTTTCACTCTATTATCTTTTTCCATAAAACTGACTCAACTATGGCCAGAGAGAACCCCTTCAAGTTAGCCTCTGCATTCTTTTGCCATCATCCCAGGATTCTTTCACAGTGCCTTTGCTTTGGGGCACAATAAGATGTTCTAGCCTTATATCGAAAAACTCCTGTCCCAGATCATGACTCAGATGTTTTCCCAAGGGTCCCTGGTGTCTTTTTAGTAAGAAGTAGTATTTAGAAATCATATCTGGTGCTAGAGTTGCTCATTGCTGCTGAATTGTCATTGCTTCTAGGTCTGATGGACAGTGCTGAGGATTGCAAATGTCTTCCATCACCAGTGAAACTGTAAATAGCTCTTTGAAACTTAGTAAATTGCTCAAAAAAAAATTTTTTTTTTTTTGAGACGGAGTCTCACCCTGTTGCCCAGGCTGGAGTGCAGTCGCACAATCTCGGCTCACTGCAAGCTCTGCCTCCCGGATTCACGCCATTCTCCTGCCTCAGCTTCCCAAGTGGCTGGGACTACAGGCGCCCACCACCACTTCCGGCTAATTTTTTGTATTTTTAGTGGAAATGGGGTTTCACCATGTTAGCCAGGATGGTCTTGATCTCCTGACCTCGTGATCCGGCCCTCTCGGCCTCCCAAAGTGCTGGGATTACAGGCATGAGCCACCGCACCGGGCCGACTTTTCTTTTTTTATTCAGGGTCTTACTCTGTTGCTCAGGCTGAGTGCAGTGCTGCAATCATGGCACACTGCAGCCTTGAACTCCGGAGCTCAAGTGATCCTCTTGCCTCAGCCTCCCGAGGTAGCTGGGATACAGGAGTGTGCCACCATGCTTGGCTAATTCTTTATTTTTTGTAGAGATAGGTTCTCGATGTGTTGCCGAGGCTGGCCTCAAACTCCTGGACTCAAGTAATCCTCCTGCCTCTGCCTCCCAAAGTGCTAGGATTACAGGCATGAGCCACAGTGCCCAATCAAAGACTTCTTAAGCGTTTTTTCATTTTACTAAGAGAAGAGGGCCAGTCATGGTGGCTCACACCTGCAATCCCAGAACTTTGGGAGGCCAAGGTGGGCGGATCACCTGAGGTCAGGAGTTCGAGACCAGTCTGACCAACATGGAAAAACCCCATTTCTACTAAAAATACAAAATTAGCTGGGTGGAGGTGCATGCCTGTAATCCCAGCTACTCAGGAGGCTGAGGCAAGAGAATTGCTTGAACCCGGGAGGCGGAGGTTGCAGTGAGCTGAGATTGCGCCATTGCGCTCCGACCTGGGCAACAAGAGTGAAACTCCATCTAATAAAATAAAAAAAAAGAAAGAAAAAAAAAGAGAGAGAGAAGAAATAAAGAAATAATAATTGAGAAAACTGAGCACTGCTAGAAAATAAGTACTAAAAGAAAATCAAAGTATCAACTTGGACAGATAAATGTTGGATACAAATGATGGCACAAATATTAAATATATATTTTGCTGAACATTGTGTTTTTCATGTTATTTTACTCTTTCTAATAATAGTGGTTTATTCAATATATAACAAAATATTAATTATTTATACTTGTTAGAAAAGGCCCAATAATGACAGTTAAATGCATGAATGACACTCATAAATCAGGCTAAATTTGTTTGTCAAGCCGTGTGTTCTGATTTGGGGTTCAGACATATGCTTACCTCTAGTGGAGAATGGTACATCAAAATGACCATAGCTGGATTATTTGACCAGTAGCCCTTGTTCCAATTCTTTACTCACACATTAACCTTTTGATCATCATTTGCATTCCCCTACAGATTGCTTCATAGGGAAAGGAATGCATTCACCAACAGACCTGAATATTTCAATCTGCTAGGCAGTCGTATTTCCTGTGTCAAAACTATACATAGGCATTTTGATTTATACATCTGTTTTCTGTGACTTTGGTCAGTGTGAGTCAATCCTCTGAATCTAACTGATCAGATGAACTGGAAAAACTGGATTTTTGGACGTTCTCAAATCAAACTCTGGACTGACAACCCCACCAAGATTCCACCGTCCTGGGGAAGTCCTGTCTATGAAGGCAGCCTGCCTCTCTTTTTAAGGTAGTACATTATTTTGGTCCTTTTAGGAGAGGGTGCTGTCACCATTTAGAACAATGGATGGAGCATTAGCTTTGTTTTCTGTTTCCAACATGTTGACTAACTGTGTGTGCTGTGGCCCTGCATTCGGTTCTGCCTCAGTCTTTGCACGCTTTGGCCTGGAGCCATCCACGGCCACCTACAACATACACTCTAACACAGCCACCTCCCGGTCACTCTCCAGGTCTTGACTCAATTACCCCTTCTTGGGGAAAACTTCCCCTACCCTCAGACTAGGCAATGTTCCACGTTCTCATGGCATGCTATGCCTTTCCTTCCCACCACCTGTCACAGTTCATAATTAAACATTTATTTGTGTGATAATTAGATTAGGGTTGAGAGATAGGGACCCCCTCTGTTGTGTGCACCTTTTATCTTCTGTGCCTATCATAGAACCTAGGATGACCGTAGGTGCCCATTACCCATGTGAGTACCTGAATGAATGACTGACGTCTGCCCAAGTGAGGCCAGTGACTGTGGCACACTGGGAAACCAGCTCATGGGGGCCCACATAAGGGGCAAATTCAGCCTCACCCAGATTCTCTTTTCCTCTCCTGTAGCTCAGCACCCCTTAAGCCTGGGCTAGAAGTTCATTAGCATCCTCAGACCCACCAGCTGGCTTATCCATGGGGTGTAATCCTTCATCCTAGTTAGTCCTGTGCTGAGGTTGGGATCGAGTGTGTTCTTGGGGTATCATGCTCATTACTCTTACCTCTGCCATGTTGGCCCCTGGTTTCTGATAGAGTTCCCACCTTAAATCCAGTGTTCTTCTGTGACAGACACCCTGCCCCAAATGTCAACCCACTCGATGCTCTGCTCAGCATCCTCTCTCCTGTCCCTCCAGGGGATTCCTCCACTATCATGTGACTTGGGCTTTAGTCTGTCCCTTATTTATTGTGTGATCTTGAACATACTGCATTGGCTCTTGAGCCTTCATTTCCTTAATTAGAATACTGTATAGGGCTTATCTAAGCGTGCCACTCCACTACCATGCCCTGGCGCTTGAGGAACTAACTAGATAATACAGCAGCACTTCTTCACTGAAGGTAACAAAAGAGTGCCTGGCCAGTCCATATTTGGGGAAAGCATCTCTAAAGAGGGCACCTTGGAGGTGAGAGCTGAAGGACAAACAGGAGGTACTTTAAAAGGTGTGAGGTGGCTATGATGACAACTTAATCCATTTCAACAAGTATTTAATGGAGCAATGTCTGTTTCTGGAATTGGGTTATTAGCCAATTTGGAGAAAACAAAAAGGCACATTATACTCCTGGGCTTCCTGCTGCTGACAACTGAGCTCTAGAGACCACATATACACACAGCCCCGTGGTTCTCAGCCACGGGGGGTTCTGCCCCACATAGGAGGAAAATTTGGAGACATTTTTGGTGGCAGGGGTGGCATGCCACTGGCGCCTGGGGGTAGAGGCCAAGGATGCTGTTAAACATCCTGCGATCTGCAGGACAGCCCTCCATGACAAATGTGAAGCGTTGAGGCTGAGAAACCCTGACACAGCCAAAGCAATGAGCCCAAACCACAGTACTGAACATCAAGGGCCCAAATCAGGGCTGCAGACATTTCCACTCTTAAAAATTTTTACTCATTTTCAAAATTTGTCTCAAATACTCTCTCACCCTTGAAGCCATCCCCAGTGCCCCTAGTCAGCCTTCCTAGGGCCCGTTGTTTAAGAGCACGGGGCTCGAAGGCAGACACAGCTGGGTTCACATCCCAGCTGCACAACTGATTAGCTGGGTGGCTTTGGGTGAGTCTCCTCACCTCTAGAAGCCTCTGCTTTCTCATCCATAAAACACAGGTAATAGAACTGGTAATACCACAGTGGTACTACTACACAGTGTTCGAGTGGTGATCACATGTAAATCACAGCATCTGACGTCCAGTGTGCATCCAAGAAAGGGGAGAATTCTTTCCTTTGTATTCCCACAGGGGCTTTGCCTGTAAGCTGCTGAGGTGACTTGGCTAATTTCACCGTGTACCAGGTATTGCTCCAGTGCTTAACATATTTTAATCCATTTAATTTTTATAACAACTGTGTGTTCCCCTCCAAATTCATATATTGAAGCCCTACTCCCAATATGATAGTATTTGGAAATGAGGTCTTTGGGAGGTCATTAGGTTTACATTAGGTCATGAGAGTGGAGCCCCCATCATAGGATTAAGAAGACAAAGAGACACTAGAACATTCTCTCTCCTCTGTGAAGATTTGGCAAAAAGGTGGCCATCCTCAGACCAGGAAGAGAGCCCTCACCAGACATCAAATCTGCCAGCACCTTGATCTTGGTCTTTCAGTCTCCAGAACCGTGAGAAATAAACGTTTGTTAAAGCACCCAGTCTATGGTATTTTTTTCATAGCAACATGGACTAAGACAACAGCCTCATGAAATGGGAAGCATTTTTCTATGCTTTTTACAAATATAGAAACGGAGGGCAGGAGAGATCGCATGGTCCCTAACGTTCAGCTAAGAGAGATGCAGGATTATAGGTATGGCTCTTCCTTTTGTTCTTTCAGGAGCCTTTTCTAGCATGTGCTATTTATCAAGGACTTTAAGGATTGGGATATAAAATCAAAGGAGACGCTTCCAATTTTCACCATCTAGTCAGAGAGTCATGCAAATCAATGATTACAGGATTTTATGACAATTCAAAGATACAGTCACACAGGGAGCTGCGGGGGTAAGAGAAGGGAGAGTTAGGTCATAGGGCCACGGGATGGGTACAAAACAAAACCCGACTTTCAATCTCTGTTTTAGCCTTCTGTGAACCACTCGACCTCTCCAAATTTCGGTTTCCTCCTCTGAAGAAAGCGCACAGCACTTACTGGCACCTGGTAAAGATTAAATTGAATTGTATATGTGGAAGGGACTCCCTAAAACGCCAGTGAGCGCCCTGGGGCCTTGTGTAGCCGGGAAGGCTTCTTGAAAGACGTGGTGTGTTTGGTTTGGAGAGAACAAGTTGCTCTAGGATGTGAGGACAGCACCTGGGTAGAGGGTTGTGGTTCACCAGAATCCAATTGCTAGAGTAGTCCTGAGTTGAAGTTGCCTCTATGAATGGACATGGTCTAATGTGGCCTCTTCACTGACCCACTCTGCATAGCGAATCGCTCTCTGCCTACTTCCCTTTGCCCAGCAGCTGTGGTGAGCCCAAAGGCCTCTCCTTAGCTAATGAGGAAAGAAATACACCACTAGATGTGAAAGAAAAGAGGGGGGAGTGGCTAGGCAGTGGCTCATGCCTGTAGTCATAACTCAGAAGCCCGAGTTGAGTGGATCACTTGAGGTCAGGAGTTCAAGACCAGCTTAGCTAACATGGTCAAACCCCATCTCTACCACAGATACAAAAGCCAGCCAGTTGTGGTGACACATGCCTCTAAACCCAGCTACTTACTGAGGCAGATAATTGCTTAAACTAAGAAGAGAACAGCAGCACGCCCAGATCGTGTCTGGAATTAGCAGGTTCTCGGTCCTGTCGACTTAAAGAATGAAGCCACAGACCCTCATGGTGAGAGTTACAGTTCTAAACGATGGTGTGCCTAGACTTTTTCCTTTCTGGTAAGTTCATGTAATCACTTAACTACAAATCTCCACGGTGGTACAACCCTTGAAAGTGTCACGTGTGAAGTTTATTTTTCCCAGGGGGTTTGTAGTCTGTTCTAGCCTCCATGAGTGAAGCTACAGACCTCCACAGTGATTGCTTCAACTCGAAAATGGACGTACCCTAAATTGTTGACGCCCACCTGCCCAAAGTTTTTTCTCTCCCAGCAAATTCATAATCTTCTAGCTTTAAAACCCAAGCCACAAACCTTTCCAGTAAACGTTACAACTCGCAAATCTCACGGACCAAAAACACAATAAACCAACACGATGAAACCTCCACCACCCGCCTAACAGTATCCCAGTGGTTTTTCCCATCCTAGAGTCGGGTGGCCTGCTTTTATTCCCTTATCTGGCCCCACCCATATCCTGCTCATTGGTCCATTTTACAGAGAGCTGATTGGTCTGTTTTACAGAGAGCCGATTGGTCCATTTTTAACAGAGTGCTGATTGGTGTGTTTACAAACCTTTAGCTACACCCAGAGTGCTGACTGGTGCGTTTACAATCCTTTAGCTAGACACAAAAGTTCTCCAAGTCTTCACCCGATTAGCTAGACACAGAGCACTGATTGGTGAGTTTACAAACCTTTAGCTAGACACAGAGTGCTGATTGGTGCATTTACAATCCTTTAGCTACACTGAAAAATTCTTCGTGTCCCCACCCATCCCAACCCAGCTGGCTTCACTTTTTTTTGGTACTCACCAGGGAGCTTTGCGGCACCTAGTCCAGGCACTCCAGCAGCTGAGAGCTCGTCCCAGACAACCAAGAGGGAAAGAAAAGAAAGGAGAAACAGACGGAGACTCTCCATTGTGGCTAGCGACCCCGTGAAGAGAGAACGGAGATCCACGCAGGACCCAGCCTCTGATCAAACCCAGTAGGTGCCGGCTCACAAGCGCCGCCCGCAGCCGCGGTTCCCGCTGGCGTCTCTCTCTCCATACCTCCTCCCAAGCAAAGGGAGCCGGATCCGGTGTCGGCTAGCCCCAGAGAGGAGCGCCCACAGCGCAGCGGTGGGCTGAAGGGCTCCTCGAGCGCTGCCAGAGTGGACGCCGAGGCCGAGAAGGCACTGAGAGCGAGTGAGGGCTGTTAGCACGTTGTCACCTCTCAAGATCACGCCACTATACTCCAGCCTGGGAGAGAGAGGGAGACCTAAGGTCTCTGCAGCACCAGTAAGGCAGGCAGCCTTTGCCCCACTGGTCATCAGATGAGACATTGCCATCGCATGCTTGGCCTTCTGAGTTCAGCTCCCTTCAAGATGGCCCTGGATGTTGAGCTTGTGCAGGAGGTTCCTCGCAGTCGGAAATAAAGAGCGCTGAGCCCTCACAGTGGAATTTGTCCCTCTAGGACTTCAGGAAGGAGCCTGGGCTTTGGAGCAGATGCTGGCTAGCTGCCTAGCTCTGGGCAAAGGTTAAACATCTCTCAACTTTATTTTTTTATTTGAGAGCTAGGGACAGCGTCAGCTAATTTGAGTGTCTGTTGTAAGGACTGGAGTCAATTTATGTGTTGGACCTAACACAAAGCATAATATACAGTTGTTATGCCATAAAACGGTAACCATTCTTGCTAAAGATCTGAGGAGGCTTTGTGCTCCTGAGCAAGGAATGAGCTATTTAATATCTTAAGCTACTAGACTGTTGGGAAAAAAAATCATGCTAATAGACCACACTTCCTCTAAACAGCAATCTTATTTTTTTAGAATACTAGTCTGTCCGGGCACAGTGGTTCACACCTATAATCCCAGCACCTTGAGAGGCCGAGGCAGGCAAATCACCTGAGGTCAGGAGTTGGAGACCAGCCTGGCTAACATGGCGAAACTCGGTTTCTACTAAAAATACAAAAATTAGCTACTCAGGAGGCTGAGGCAGGAAAATCGCTTCAATCTGTTGAGAGGTGACAGCGTGCTGGCAGTCCTCACAGCCCTCGCTCGCTCGGCGCCTTCTCTGCCTGGGCTCCCACTTTGGCGGCACTTGAGGAGCCCTTCAGCCCACCGCTACACTGTGGTAGCCCCTTTCTGGGCTGGCCAAGGCCGGAGCCGGCTCCCTCAGCTTGCTGGGAGGCGTGGACGGAGAGGCGCGAGCGGGAACCGGGGTTGCGCGCGGTGCTTGCGGGTCGGCGCGAGTTCCGGGTGGGCGTGGGCTCAGCGGGCCCCGCACTTGGAGCGGCCCGCCCGCAAGCCCCGGGCAGTGAGGGGTTTAGCACCTGGGCCAGCGGCTGCGGAGGGTGTACTGGGTCGCCCAGTAGTGCCGGCCCACTGGCGCTGCGCTGGATTTCTCCCCGGGCCTTAGCTGCCTCCCCACAGGGCAGGGCTCAGGACCTGCAGCCCGCCATGCCTGAGCCTCCCGCCACTCCGTGGGCTCTTGTGCGGCCCGAGCTTCCCTGACGAGCGCCGCCCCCTGCTCCGTGGCGCCCAGTCCCATCGACCACCTAAGGGCTGAGGAGTGTGGGCGCAGGGTGGGCGACTGGCAGGCAGCTCCACCTGCGACCCTGGTGGGGGATCCACTAGGTGAAGCCAGCTGGGCTCCTGAATCTGGTGGGGATTTGGAGAACCTTTACCTCTAGCTAAGGGATTGTAAATACACCAATAGGCACTCTGTATCTAGCTCAAGGTTTGTAAACACACCAATCAGCACCTTGTGTCTAGCTCAGGGTTTGTGAAGGCAACAATCAACACTCTGTATCTAGCTACTCTGGTGGGGCCTTGGAGAACCTTTGTGTGGATACTCTAGCTAATCTAGTGGAGACATGAAGAACTTTTGTGTCTAGCTCAGGGATTGTAAATGCACCAATCAGCACCCTGTTAAAACAGACCACTCAGCTCTCTGTAAAATGGACCAATCAGCAGGATGTGGGTGGAGCCAGATAAGAGAATAAAAGCAGGCTGCCAGAGCCAGCAGCGGTAACCTGCTCTGGTGTGCTTCCACCCTGTGGAAGCTTTGTTCTTTTGCTTTTTGCAATAAATCTTGTTATTGCTCATTCTTTGGGTCTACACTGTCTTTATGATCTTTAACACTCACCATGAAGGTCTGTAGCTTCACTTCTGAAGCCAGCGAGACCACTAACTCACTGAGAGGAAGGGCTAACTCCAGATGTACCGCCTTAAGAGCTGTAATACTTTAGAGGTCTGCAGCTTCACTCCTGATCACAAACCCACCAGAAAAAAACTCCAGACACACCGACTTCAAAAATTCTAACACCGCGAGAGTCTGCAGTTTCATTCTTGAAGTCGGTGAGACCAAGAACCCATTAATTCCGGACACGCTGGGAGATGGAGATTGCAGAGAGCCGAGATCGCACCATTGTACTCCACCCTGGAGGACAGAGGGAGATTGTCTAAAATACGTATGTATGTAACAGAAAAGTGCACCAATCATCACACCTTGGCAAACTATTACAAAGTAAATACGCCCGTGTGACTAATAATCCAGATGAAAAAAACACGACTAGCACCCCAGAAGGGAAGCTCAAAACTCCTCCCAATCAGCCCTGTGTTTCGCATGTGATTCTGACCCATGTCGCCATAAATTGGTTTCCTATAAATGAAATCACACAGTATGAACTCTTTTGTGTTTGGCTTCTTTCACTGATTGTGAGATTTGTCTATCATCTCTAGTAGTTGTAGTTAATTCGTTCTCATTGCTACTTAGTATCCCACTGAGTGAATACACTTTATCGCTTTTAATCACGACTCTTAAAAACCGTTTTTAATGTGAGGTATCAGGATAATTTTCTTAACTGGCTGTTTAACTTTGTACTTGTACATACAAAAAAGTATCTTAACCATGGGACCTTACTAAACTTGGCAAGAAATAGGTTAAGTAACCCAAGGGGCGCTGGTGAGCCCATTCTCTCGCGATCTTGTCAGAGAATAAATTCAAAGCTTTACAGGGGTGAGAAATACAGCCGTACACGGAAAAATCAAGTTTCTGGTGGAGGAGGGAACAGCCCCAGTGGGTATTTTAGTATCCTTTGGAAACCTTACCCACTCTATTTCCAACTACGATTGCTTGTTTCATATCAAGAAGAAGGAAGCTTCCAACCTTAGATACTGTGGAGGTTTACTTTTTATTTTTTTTTTTAATCTTCAAACCTGTCCTACTTCTTGGTGGAACTATGGGAACTGTGGTTATATTAAAAATGTTTGCTTATTTACTTAAGCTCCAGTGAGTGACATTGCTTGATAGTGGTGAGTCTAGCTTCTCTCAGTATTTTGTTTTATTGAAATCCCCATGACACAAGAAAGTCAGAGGTTGTCCAGCCCAGCTGTGAATTATTTGAGCTTAGCATCTGGAATTCCTTTTCAGCTATTTTGGCAACAAGGAAATCCCCAATGTATTTTGCCCCAAGCACTTTTGCACTTCTTTTTTTTAAAAAGTCTGTCGTTTAGAAAGTAATTTAATCTCGAAACCCCTAATTATAGTATTTTAAACTTACTCATTCAAATGGTGTTTGTAAAAAGATACTTGTTCCAAGAAACCTGTAAGACATTAAAAATCCTACTCACTCGACTTTCCCTTGCCAGAAATAGAAAGAGTGGCTGCCAAGAATAAATGAAGCTGTACAACCACTTTGTAAAACTATTTGGCATTATTTCTCAAAATTGAACATTCGTATAACCTATGACCCAGCAATTTCATTCCTGGGTATCCACCCAACAGAAATCCATGCAGAGATACGCACCAGAAGACATGTGCCAGAATGTTCATACCAGCACAATTTGTAACAACCTCCGACTGTAACTAAAGCCGAATCTCTCTGAATAGTAGAATCAATGAATAAATTGTGGTATAGTCATACGATGGAATATTACACAGCAATCAAGTGAATGAAATGCAGCTGCGCATAGCACACTGACTGAATTTCCAAAACATCATGTTGAATAAAGGAAGTCGTATGAAACAGAATACATATTATATCATTCCATTATATGATGTTAAAAGAAACCTTTGTCATTAGAGGTGAGAATAGTGGTTGCCTTTGGGGAGAGGAGAACAGACAACGATAGAGGGGGCTAGAAGGGGACTTCTTGGGTATTGATAATGTTCCATTTCTTGACCCGGAAGGTGGTTACACAGATGTGAGCACCGTGTGATAATTCACTAACATCACTTTTGGTTAGTGTACTTTTTAATAAACAAGTTTTTAAAAGTAAAACAGAATAAATGCATGCTAAACCTCATGAATTTTAATATTTTTGAACAGCAATCTAACTCTGAGAAAATATATGTATTCCCCACCCCCCCACATCTCATCTTTTTTACTTCATCTAATTAGAAGGTAGCCTCCATTATACATTAGAAGGTAGCCTCCATTATAAAGTACATAGTTATGTACCTTAATCATTTGCAATACCCAAATGTACCATCAGTATAACAGTTTAGTTATAACAAAAATATCTCATCAATTGGTCTCCTGATTGGAGCAGATAAAAGATCCTTACAACTCTCTTTACAAATAAACTATGGTTTTCTTATAATTCATTAAAAATACTTCTCTATTAGTTAAAAAATAAAAACTAAAAAGAATTCCACTATAGACAGCTCATCTCATTTCTAGAGCAATATGGTTTTTTGAATCATGACACAATTTTGACATCAGATTATATGTATAGAAATATACATATAGAAACTTTCCACGTCTCCACATGATAAAATATATTCTGTGCATTTCATTTGCTTCCTGATGAGTTACATGCTCCTGCTAAGAGTAACTGTGAATTGAGTTCTTGAAGGATTAAAACCAACCACCCAGATTTTCCTTCAAAGCTCCTGGGTCTTTGGTCAGGTCATGAATATTAATGAGGTTGGCATAGTGTCCAGCATGGGTATATTTAGGTAGTTAGGTCTCCATGTAGTGGATACAGTGATAAGTGCTTCCACTGTTCTCAGACAAAAAAAAAAAAAAAAAAAAAAAAGTGTGGCTACTGCATTTTGGAGCCAGCTTTCAGGGAGTGTTCTGCTTAACCACAAAGCCTGTGCACACACAGGTTTTATAAAGAATATGCGATGGTTAGAGGGAGTGAGAGGGAAGAAAAGCAAAGGCAGCCTTCTGCCTTCCAGAGCAACATCTGGACTGATCTGAACTTCCACTACAGACCACCTATTTCTGTGTGTGTATATATATATATATATATATTTTTTTTTTTTTTGAGACAGAGTTTCGGTCTTGTTGCCCAGACTGGAGTGTAGTGGCACAATCTCGGCTCACTGCAACCTCTGCCTCCTGGGTTCAAGTGATTCTCCTGCTTCAGCGTCCTGAGTAACTGGGATTATAGGCGTCCGCCACCACGGCCAGCTAATTTTTGTATTTTTAATAGAGACGGGGTTTCACCATGTTGGCCAGGCTGATCTTGAACTCCTGACCTCTGATGATCGGCCTGCCTCGGCCTCCCAAAGTGCTGGGATTACAAGCATGAGCCACCACGCCCAGTCTTATTTCTTTGTACATTTTTAAAAAATTGATTGAGTCAGTGACTTTTACAGTTTCTCTTTTCCCCTATGGCACAAGCTTGGATTTCCAAAATAGTCCAGCATGGTACCTGGCAGGTATTTACTGTTCATGGAATGAATGGCTACAAGGCAGGGGATACTGGGACTGGATGGGACCTTGGGCACCCACTAGCACAATTCTCATTTTTCAGATAAGGAAACTGTGGCCACAACAGCCTTGAGGGTAACTGGACGTACCGATGCAGAGAGGCTGTGGGTTTCCCTGCTTCTTGTCTAGTTCTCTCGCTGACCCCCTGCCTGGAAGAGTTGGGCATATGTCTGTTACACTATTTAGCAGAACTTTGGGTCGGGAAGCTGATCAAAGAACCAGGACTTTTCTCTCCAGCACTGGGCACGGTGCCCAGCCCATACTAGGTTCTCAATAAACACTTGACTAATGAATATGTGCGGACTTAAGAAGTACATTCTTGGCCAGGCTTGAGGGCTCATGCCTGTAATCCCAGGGCTTTGGGAGGCAAAGGTGGAAGGATTACGTGAGGCCAGGAGTTTGAGACCAGCCTGGGCAACATAGCAAGACCCTGTCTCTACAAAAAGTTCAGAGAAAGCAACTGAAAAAAAAACCTCCAAAATACAACAACAACAAAAACTTAGCCAGATGTGGTTGTGTGGGCCTGTAGTCCCTGCTACTTGGGAGGCTGAAGTGGGAGGGTCACTTGAGTTCCGGAGTTTGAGGCTGCAGAGAGCTATGATTGTGCCATGGCACTCACTCCAGCCTGGCAACAGGGTAAGACCAGGTTATATATATATATATATAATATATATGTTCTAACAGGTTAAGGTCACAGCGCAGGGTTTCTCAGCCCTCGTCATCTGCCACCCACTCATACTTGGTGTCCCTGCCTTTAGAAACCTCTCCTTTTTTTTCTTTCTAACTTTTAAGTTCAGGGTACAAGTGCAGGTTTGTTACATAGGTAAACTTGTGTCATGGGGGTTTGTTGTACAGATTATTTCATCACCCAGGTATTAAGCCAAGTACCCACTAGTTGTTTTTCTTGATCCTCTCCCTCTTCCCACCCTTCGTCCTCCAAAGGGCCCCAGTGTGTGTTGTTCCCCTCTATGTGTCCATGTGTTCTCATCATTTCCTCCCACTTACACGTGAGAACGTGCAGTATTCAGTTTTCTGTTCCTGCACTAGTTTGCTAAGGATAATGGTCTCCAGCTCCATCCATGTCCCAGCAGAGGACACCATCTCGTTCTTTTTTATGAGAAGCCTGTCTCTTTGGTGTCACTCTTCCATCCCAGGGCTCTACTCTGTGCTTCTGTTTCCAAAGCTTGGCTTCCAAGTCACTGTCTCGGAAGTTGCCAGTAAAAGTCCTACACTCTTACCTCTACTGAGCATTCTAAATAGATGCTGTGATTACCGTTCGACTTTGTGCCCGGTTTCATTCTAGTGAGTGTTTTTTCCCTGCTACTCTGAACTATTCTACTGACCCTTATACAATAAAACCGCGGCCTCGTTGTGTTTCTGCAACCTGGGCAAGAAGAGACAGGTCACCTGCTTGACACTCAGTCTGAACAGAATCCTTCACAAGTTGAAAATTGAGAGCAAAACTTATCCAGAGAAGGAAGAGATTCTGAGCAGTTGAAGGGCCAACTAATTACAAATGAAACCAGTGCTTCTAAATCCGGAGTCCCTTGAATAAATAACATGGAACGCCACTCCTGGGGCAAGCTCCTGCCTTTAGTCTGGGGGCTCAGTGGTCACTGGCGCACAGCCCTGGCAGGAGCCAGGCCAGGTAACTTACACAGAGGATGATGTGAACACCTGTATGTCCCGTGACCTCCACAAATACAGGCCTCATTTCAAAGGGAGCCAGAATTTGGTTAGCAATTCTGGGTGCCTTCCAAGAGTGATTGAAATGAAAATATGTTCCTCCTAAACAAGAGGAAATTCCAATAGGCTAAGGAGAAATGGGACCTTAGGACCACTGAGAACACATATAATTAACTCAGTACACATTTACTCAATACACATCCATCCATTCTTGAGACATATGTATATTAAAAATATAAATTAGTATTTTAAAGATTTTTCAGGTTGGTGTTGGTACAAACAAAAACTATGTTATTGGTTAAAGATTTGAGATTTTATTAAGAATTCCAGGAAGTTAGATGCTTCCTGGAGATAATACAAAAGCCACAGAGATGTTGGTCCAGATAGTGTTGAAAAGTCTAGCTTTGGGTGTTGGCGAGGGTGTGGGAAAGTATAAATTGGGACAACCTGTCTGGAAGGGAGGGTAGCTTGCCAGTGTGTTTCAAAAGTGATTAAAATATAGCTATTCTTTGATTAAGTAATTTCACTTTAGGAATCTATGCTTAAGGAAATAAAAAGATAAAAATGTGTATATTTGAGGATTTTCATTGCAATAATATTTGTTAAAGAAAAACCCAACAAACAAATCTATAAACAACTAAAATAGCTATAAATAAGAGATTGGTTAAATAAATTAGAATTCAACCATTCTCTGAAAAACATTATTCAGTGTTTCAAAATATTGATGTGGAAAGATGTCTGTTAAGACTTTTTAAAAATTATTATTTTAAAATTATTATTATTTTTTAGAGACACGGTTTCTCCATGTTGTCCAGGCTAGTCTTGAACTCCTGGGCTCAAGCAATCCTCCCATCTCGGCCTCCCAAAGTGTTGGGATTGCAGGCATGAGCCACCATGCCTGGCCTTGTTAAGAGTCTTGATTGATAAAAGCAGGCTATAAAACAGCTATTTTTATAAGGTGGAGGGAGTATATATACATGCAGGTATGCCCTATGTATATGTAAAGAAAAGGTCTAGAAATATATACGCCAAAATGTCAACAATTGTGGAATCTTGAGTAATTTTTACTTTCTGTAAAAGTAATTTATACTTTACTTTCTGAATTTTGTATAGAGGGCAGTTTATTCCTTTTTGGAGAAATTTCAAAAATAGAGCAAAGTATGAAGAATGATATAACAACAGCTGTCAATCCACAACCCAGAAATGATTATCATTAGCACTTTGTTATGTTTGTTTCAGCCTTTTTAAATAATAGAAATGAAATATTGAAGTTTAAGTAGCCGTTCCCATTCCCCTTTCGTATCTGAAGAACCAACTGCTACTGGGTGTTTAGTGTATGTACAGAGGACATACACTGAGATTGGTCAGTGTTTCACAGAGGGAAAAAACAAATAGAACAAATATAACATATATACATTATATATACTAATGTATATTGTACATGTAATTGTCTATACTAATGTGCAACATGTATACATTATATATACTAATGTATACTACATATATAATACTACTAATATGTGCTACATATATACTACTAACATATACATCTATAACTGCAGTATATTCTTTTACTCTGGTTTTATATATACTAATGTATATATGTTGCACATTAGTATATATAATGTATATATACATTTTACATTTGTTAATTTTTGTCAATCTGATGGATGGGAAATAGAATCTCACCCTGGTTTAATTGGCATTGCTCTTGTTACTAAAGATGGCTTAATGGTCATTTAGGTTTCCTCTTCCATGGATCATCTATTTATTTATTTTATTTGTTTTTCTATTGGACTGCTTATCTTTTACTTAATAATGGATTCTTTTTATGTTCTGGATATTGTATGATGCAAATATACAATATACTAATGTATATATAGTATATATATGTTGCATTATAATGTGTATATATATAATATATATACTAATTTACTCATGTTATATGTATATTTTATATATAATATATGTAATATCACATGATTATGCAGGTGGGAAAGTCCCAGGAACTGCAGGGTGAGTTGGCAAGCTGGAGACCAAGGAGAGCTGATGGTATAGTTCCAATGTGAAGGTGGCAGGCTCTACACCCAGAAAGAGGTGATGTTTCAGTTTGAGTCCAAAGGCAGGAAAAAAGCCAATGTCCCATTTTGAAGGCAGTCAGGGAGGAGAAATTCTCTTTTACTCAGGGGAGAGCTGGCTTTTTTGTTCTAGTTAGGCCTTCAAGAGACTGGATGAGGCCAACCTCCACCTCTACCAGGGTGAAGGCAATCTGCTGAATTCAGTCTATGGATTCAAATGTTCATCTCATTAAATGTTATTCTATTATTCAAACATCCACAATAATGTTTGACCAAATATCTGGACACTTTCTGGCCCAGTCATTTTTACATTTGACATGTAAAATTAACCACTGCTGTCTTCCCAGTCTATTTTTTAAGCCATGTATTGAAGTTTAATTTACATACAGTTTTAGCACACAGTCCTATGAGTTCTTCCAATTTGTTTTAAACAGACACACACACACATATGTATTCATTAAAATGCAGAATTGTTTGCATTGGTTTTAACATCAATATAAAAGTAATCACATTTTTATTTTAATCAATGTTATGTTTCTGAGACCAATGCATATTGACACATATAACTGTGGTATATTCTTTTAGTCTGGTATAGTATTGGCTTAAATATACTATCTTTTTTTTTTAAGTTGTTCTTTTTTTGAGGCAGAGTCTTGCTCTGTCGCCCAGGCTGGAGTACAGTGGTGCGGTCTCAGCTCACTGCAACCTCTGCCTCCTGGGTTCAAGCGATTCTCCTGCCATGGCCTTCCAAGTAGTTGGGATTACAGGAATGCACCACCATAACCAGCTATTTTTTTTGTATTTTTAGTAGAGACAGGGTTTCATCATGTTGGCCAGGCTGGTCTTGAACTCCTGACTTCAAGTCATCTGCCCGTCTCGGCCTCCCAAAGTGCTGGGATGACAGGCGTGAGCCATTCTGCTTGGCCTTAAATATACTGTATTTTATTTATTCATTTTATAAATGGACATTTAGGTTGTTTCCAATATTTCCCTACTGTAGTCAATTCAGCAATAACTACCTTGTATGGGTCTTCTTGTGCTATTGTGCCAGAAATGCTCGATGGAATCTCTGGAACTGCTAAAAGTGGACTTGTCAGTTCACAGAGTATGTACATATTAGGTTTAACTACATACTGCCACATTGCTTCCATAATGGCTATAACAATATGTATTCTCACCAGCAATGTCTGAGAATTCCCATTTTCCCACATCCTGATCAACCCTCGATATTTTTATATTTGTTAATTTTTGTCAATCTGATGGATGGGAAATAGAATCTCACCCTGGTTTAATTGGCATTGCTCTTGTTACTACAGATGGCTTAATGGTCATTTAGATTTCCTCTTCCATGGATTATCTATTTATTTTACTTGTTTTTCTATTGGGCTGCTTGTCTTTTACTTAATAATTGATTCTTTTTATGTTCTGGATACTGTAGGATGCAAATATCTTCACCTTCTTTGTCATTCATCTTTTAACCTTGGTCATCGTGTCTTTTTCTTTATTGCATGTGTCTACGTGTATGTGGATATGTGTCTGATTTAAGAAACATTTTCTACAATCACAGATATTCTCGTTTTATTTTCTAAGAAGTTCTAAAGTTTTTTGTGTAAGGTGTGATCCAATTTTACTTTGTTTTAGGGATAAGGCATTATATTAGTTATCTACTGCTGCATAACAAACAATCCTCAAGTTTAGCAACCTAGAAGCATATACATTTATTATCTCATAGTGTCTGAGGGTCAGAAATCTGGGAACAACTTAGTGGGTGGTTCTGGCTCAGCAGTTAAGCTGTGGGGCAGGGTTGCAGTCATCTTGCTGTGGACTAAATGCTTGTGTCCCCCCAAGTTCATGTGTTGAAGCCTTAATCCCCAGTGTGATGGTATTTGGAGGTGGTGTCTTTGGGGGTGAGTAGGTTTAGATGAGGTCCTGAGAATGGAGCCCTCATGATGAGATTAGTGCCCTTACGAAAAGAGGAAGAGACCAGAGCTCTTTCTTTCTCTGCCATGTGAGGACACAGCCAGTCAAGAGACAGGTCCTCACCAGTCACCAGATCTGCTGGCATCTTGATCTTAGACTTCCCAGTCTCCAGAACTGTGAGAAACAAACGTTTGTTGCTTAAGGCATCCAGTTTGTTGTTGTTGTTGTTGTTTGTTTTGTTTTTGAGATGGTGTTTCACTCCGTCTTTTTGCCCAGGCTGGAGTGCAATGACGTGATCTCGGCTCACTGCAACCTCCGCCTCCTGGGTTCAAGCGATTCTCCTGCCTCAGCCTCCTGAGTAGCTGGGATTACAGTTGCCTGCCACCACACCCAGCTAATTTTTTGTATTTTTAGTAGAGACGGGGTTTCGCCATGTTGGCCAGGCTGATCTTGAACTCCTGACCTCAGGTGATCCGCCCGCCTCGGCCTCCCAAAGTGCTGGGATTATAGGCATGAGCCACCACACACGGCCTGTAGTTTTTTTTTAATAGCAACCTGAGCAGACTAAGACACATCTGAAGGCCATGTTGGAAGATCTGCTTCCAAGGTGGCACATTCAGATGGTTGTTGGTGGAAGGCCTTGGTTCCTCCACAAGGTTGCCTGAAAGTCCCCATGACATGGCAGCTGGCTTCCCCCAGAGTGAGTGAGGCAAGACAGAGAGAAAATGTGAGTAAGTAGGAAGCTGCAGTGCCTTTTATGACAGTTTCTAGAGTCACTCACTGTCCCATTTTACCCTGTTCATTAGAAGTGAGTCACCAAGTCTAGCCCACAGTCCATGGGAAGGGAATTACACTCCATATCTTAAAGGGAGGAGTGTCAAAGAATTATAGCAGTCGAAATGCATCATAGGTACAAAGTATCATTTGTCCCACCCCTACTTTTAAAAGTCTATCCTTTCCTTACTGATGTATAATGACACTTCTTTCATCAAGTTTCCACATATGCAGACATGTTTCGGGGGTCTCTATGCTGATCCATTGACTGATTTATCTAGTCTTGCACCAACACTACAATGTAACTTTACTACAATGTAACTTTACAAACACTATACTGTAACTTTACAAATCTTGGTGGGTGATAGGCCCCTGGTGGCAGATTCAATGATGAACACACCTCCTGTATACAAACGCTTGTGTAGTCCCCTCCCCTCAAATCTAGGTTGGCCTTGTGACTTGTTTTAATCTTAGCATGAACTAGAAGTAATACTATGTCAGTTCCTGATCTAAACCTTAGGCAAGGGGCTGGGCCTTGTGGCTCACGCCTGTAATCCCAGCACTTTGGGAGTCCGAGAGGGGCAGATCACCTGAAGTCAGGAGTTTGAGACCAACCTGGCCGACATGGCGAAACCCTGTCTCTACTAAAAAAACAAAAAAAATTAGCCGGGTGTGGTGGCAGGCACCTGTAATCCCAACTACTAGGGAGGCTGATGCATGAGAATCGCTTGAACCCAGGAGGCGGAGGTTGCAGTGAGCCGAGATCATGCCACTGTACTCCAGCCTGGGGGACAGAGGGAGACTCTGTCTCCAAAAAAAAAAAAATAATAATAATAATAATTAATAAATAAATAAAAATAAAAAATAAACCTTAGGCAGGGCCTAGCATTCTTGGAGTCCTGAGCCAGCGTGTGAGCAGTCTGGCTACCCTGCTGGAGAGACCTACAGGAAGAGCCCACAGGCCCTGAGACTTCCTAGGCAAAGAGAGGAGCGCCCCCATCTTAGCAACCCAGCTGACTGGTCCCCAGCTAAATGGGGCCACCTGAGTGACCGCCTGCAAGCACAACAGCACTGCAAAGCTGAGCCCATTCCAGACTGCAGAATCATGATGTTTGCTTCAAGCCATTAAGTTGTGGGAGGTTTGTTATATACCAATAGATAATTGAAACAGCTCTTTTCCCATCCTTGTACTTCTTTTTCCAAATTACCTTTATTGAACTATTGACTCATCTGGGGAAAGAGTATTAAATCTTTCTTTTTATTCATGTATTCAGCTTTTCTTTTTCCTTTTTCAGCAACTTTTGATATTTTCCCTATAAAGCCCTGAACGTAATTTGCTTAACTTATTCTCAGGATCAATATCATTTCTGTTGCTATTGTGAATGAGAATATTTTCTTTACTATGTTTTCTAATTGGTATCAAGGAATGCTATTGATTTTTATGTGTTGATCTTGTATCCAGAAACTTTGCTGAATCCTCTAATAGTTTGCCTGAAGATTCTCTTGGGTTTCAAGTAGACAATCTGAAAATAATGGCCATATCGGCTGGGCACAGTGGCTCACACCTGTAATCCCAGCACTTTGGGAGGCCGAGGTGGGTGGATCACCTGAGGTCGGGAGCTGAGACCAGCCTGGCCAACATGGAGAAACCCTGTCTCTACTTAAAATACAGAATTATCCGGGTGTGGTGGCGCATGCTTGTAATCCCAGTTACTCGGGAGGCAGAGGTTGCAGTGAGCCGAGATCACATCATTGCACTCCAGCCTGGGCAACAAGAGTGAAACTCCGTCTCCAAAAAAAAAGAAGAAAAAATGGCCGTATTATCTTTTCCTCCGTGATTCTTTTGCCTTTTCTTTTCTTGTCCCTTTTCATTGGGAAGAACCTCCAGTGTGATATCAGGTAGTAGGAATGATAATGAGTACACTGGCTTAAGTAGAAATGTGTTTGAAGTTTCATCAGTTATTATGACATTATTACAGGTTCAAAAAAAATCTTTATCAAGTTAAAATCTCCATCTATTCCAAGTTTGCTAAAAGTTTTACTATTTTTTAAATAAATGGGTGTTGAATTTTATTGCCATCAATTTATGGCTGTCCTCCCTTTAATATCTTCATATTTTAAAGTAACTTAATACAGGTTTCTAATGTTGAGTCATGGATATTTTTACAGGATAAACCCCACTGAGTTATGATTACTTTTATATACTGCTAAATCAGATTTGTAAGGTTTTTATTTAGAATTCTTTATATTCATAAATGATACTGGCTTATAATTTTCTTTTCTTTTCTTTTCCTTTTGAGACAGTCTCGCTCTGTCGCCCAGGCTGGAGTGCAGTGGCGCGATCTCAGCTCACTGCAAGCTCCGCCTCCCGGGTTCACGCCATTCTCCTGCCTCAGCCTCCCAATTAGCTGGGACTACAGACACCTGCCACCTCACCTGGCTAATTTTTTGTATTATTAGTAGAGATGGGGTTTCACCGCGTTAGCCAGGATGGTGTCGATCTCCTGACTTCGTGATCCGCCCTCCTCGGCCTCCCAAAGTGCTGGGATTACAGGCGTGAGCCACTGCGCCCGGCTGTTTTGTTGTTTTTGTTAAAAAATACATACTTTTATGTCTATAGTAACCTCAAAAAATGAGTTAGATAGCTTTTCCCTTTTGTTCTATTATCTGGAACTGCTTGCCTAAAATAAAATTGTCTGTTCTTTGAAAGTTTGGTTAAACCTGCCTGTAAAGTTGTCAGAACATACTGCCTTTCTTGAGGAGAGATATTTGACTAGCCATTCAATTATTTTAATAGTTATTGGCATATTAAGATTTTCTATTTCCTTTTGAGTCAATTTTATAATTTCTATAAAGTTGTCCATTTCAGGAAATTTTTCAAAATTATAGGCAAAGATTTATTTATAGTATTTTTATCCCAAATATTGTTTTAGCCTTTTCTCTTTTTTCTAATTGTTCTTTCCAGAAATTTATCTATTTTATTAGTCTTTTTATTAACAACCTTTTGGTTTATTAATAATATTTATATTCTTGGTTTTAGATTCTTTTTATGCTTTTATATTTATTTCTCTTTTCTTCTAGTTTTTTTTTTCTAGAGTGTTTATTATTGTTTCTTTCTAGATCATTAAGTTGAATGCTTAATTCCTTAAATTTCAAATCTTTTTTGTTATCCAAAAAAATGAATTTAAGCTCCAAATTTCTACTTGGGTACAATTTTAGCTGTACCTCATATGTTTTTATATGGGTGCTTTTATTGTGTTTCATTTCTAAATATTTTCCATTTTCATCATGGTTTATTTTCTAATCCAGAAATTGCTTAGAATAATATTTTTAATTGTCAAATTTATGGGGTGAGGGGATACTTTCCTACTGTTGGTTTTTATTTTCAGTGCCCTGTGGTGAAGGACGACCTAATGACCTCATTCCTTTGGAATTTGTTGTGATTTCCTTTGTGGCCCAATAAATTGTCAAGTGTGTAAATGTTCTGGGTGGGTTTATAAAAAATGTGTATTCTTTGTTGGGTAAAGATTTTTTTTCTAAATATCTATTATTGTTTCTAAATATAATGTAAATTTATTGTTTGGAAAAGAGGAAGAGAAAGAGTCTACATCTCAGGAATCTAGTCTTATCAGAAAGGGAAGAAGGATTGCAGAAGCAGAACTTGAATAATATCCTGGGAAACCAAGAAAGCTAATGGTTTGCTGTGTGTGTGTGTGTGTGTGTGTGTGTGTGGGGGTGTGTGAAAGAGAAACAGAGAGGAGGCTCCCATAGAACTGTAGCTTACCTCTGTGATTGCACTTCTCACACACTATATTGCAGTTATCTGTTTGCTTGTTTGATGCACAAAGCCATGAGTTCCTTAAGGGAAAGCTTAAGGATGGAGCTTTTAGCTCTGTATTCTCAGTGAGCATCTCCAGGACTCAAACACAGCAGGCAGTAAATGAACAGAAGTGGAAAGAAGGTAGGGCTGCTGGTCAGCTGGTATACAAGTACCAGGTATGATTGTGCTGCTTGGTGAAATATTCAGCTGCTGCCCTGAGCTTTTAGTACCGCTTTGCCACCCACTGCCTTGACCTCTTCCCAAGATCCCCCAAACCTTACTGTGATCTAGTGAATGAAAGTGTTGAGGCTTGGTCTAGCAAGGAACCTCCAGGACTCTGCTCCAGAAATATACATATTTGCTCTGATTGGTCGGTGCCCATAGCATACCAGTTGTTAAATATTTTTTCTATAATCTCTGGTTGAAGAAATGAATAGTCTTCGTTTCCTTCTACACCTTTTTTGCTGAGTTGTGTGATGTGTTCTCTCTGCCATCCTTCTCCCAGGCTGCACTTTGGCCCTGGTTACTTCTATCTAAAAACAAACCCAGTGTCTCTCAGCCTTTTGAGTGGCTTTCTTTTGGACCTTATAATTACAAGGCCACAGCCTACGTATGGTGTTACTGCCTAGATACTTCCAGGTCAAGTGATCTATCTTGGATTCTGCATGTTGCATCTATTAATAAATAGGTGAGATGTTTGAAATGGAGCATGTATTGTTTTATATATCTACTCTTTAAACCAGAAACGAAGGGCCTAAAATAGTACTCTTAATTTGAATTGCAGATGCCATGTCATTCTCCTCTCTCAACTGGAAATTAAAAATTTAAATAGTATTTATTTACTTTCTGCCAGACTGTTATAAAGGTTATTTTTCTGGTGCACTAAATCTGTGTGTATAAGCAGCATGTTAATGACTTGGGACGCTAAATAGTTTTCCTATGTGCTTATTGATCTGCCTGGAAAGGGCACCATCCTTGCTGTCTGTTTATTTATAGCGCAATTATATCATCTGCCCTACACACCTTAATAGGCTGACAGAGGCAGCAGAAACGTACACTGAACAGCATTACCCCAGAGAAGCTGTGTGCATGAAGAGGCCAAGCACCCTGAGACCTTCACACACCAAAAAGAAAAGTTCTGTATTTTGCTCAGAAGCTTCTGTGATGCCTAAACTCCTATGCATTGATGTAAGGGCATTCCCGCTCTCCAAGAGCCATAGATTGGCTGGTGGTAAGTCAAAGAGTGTCTAGGCTTCTCTTGGCCTGGTGGGTGATACAGATAAGCAACGTGTTGCAGTATAACCTACTTGAGTCAACTATTATTTTGGGCATTTCAGAGGACTAGTGACTAGCTAGACACTTTTAGGTCTTGACAAGTTCATGTACTCAGAATGGAAGAGGAAAGAGATACTGAAGCATCTGACCAGAACTGTTAGTTCACTTACACATTTAAATGGTTTCTTTTCCTTATTGTGACTGTAAGAAAAAAAAATGGAAAAACCAGAAATGCAGGCAAAGGTGTATTACTTTTCATTTTCTAGGCTATTTATTCTTAAAAATTTATAGTTGTAGGCACAAAAATGTGAATTACTTAATGTCACTGTGGAGTTAAAATAATTAAGATGGTAGCTTTTCTATATTTTATCATATACATACGTATATTTTATCATAACACAAAGACAAAAATATGTAGTTGTGATCATATTATACATACAATACTGACTGGCATTGTAAACCCAACGTCATGCTATAAGCATTTTGTCATGCTATTACATGACGTTAGAAAATGTTTTCATGGCCGGGTGCGGTGGCTCACGCCTGTAATCCCAGCACTTTGGGAGGCCGAGGCAGGCAGATTACCTGAGGTCAGGAGTTCGAGACCAGCCTGGCCAACATGGTGAAAACGCTGTCTCTATTAAAAATACAAAAATTAGTAATCCCAGCTACTTGGGAGGCTGAGGCAGGAGAATTGCTTGAGCCCAGGAGGCAGAGGTTGCAGTGAGCTGAGATCGTGCCACTCACTGCACTCCAGCCTGGCCGACAGAGCCAGATTCAGTCTCAAAAAAAAAAAAAAAAAAAAGTTTCCACGCCTTTGTGGCTAATTTGTTCATTCAACAAGTATTTATTATGTATTAGTGAGGTACCAAGTACTGTTTTAGGCCCTGGGATATAGCAGTAAATAAACCAATAATATCCCTTGCCCCAGTAGGCTTACATTCCTACATTCCAGCCAGGGGCCAAGGAAGTGAACTCAAAGCAGACTGTGGTAAGTGCTGTGAATGGAATTAAACGCGGTGTTGTTGGAGAGCAACAGCAGGGGCTTGGGAAGGATGGCTACCTCAATAGGGTGGGAAGGATGCAACATGTGAATTGAGCCCCAATGGCCTCTCCAGCCAGGAGAATGAAGGGCTGAGGGAAGAGCACTTCCCAGATGAGAAAACAGAAAGTCCAAGTGTCCTGAGACAGGAAAGATCCAGGCAAGACCAAGGAACCAAGGGGAGGTGAGTGTGACTGAGGCAGAAGGGGCATCAGGTCAAGAGTGGGTGGCACTAGAAGTGCAGAGAACAGAGCCACCTGGGTCATGCTGAGGGGTATAGATGGCATTGTCAGTGCAGCGCAGGGAGCAGGGGAGGGCTCTAAACAAGTCAGTTTCATGAGTGATGCTTTTGAAAGCTCTCTGATTACCTATGGATTGCAGAAGGCAAGAGAGTGACAGTGAGTCCTGTTAGAAGGCTACTGCGGTAGTCCAAGGCAGAGTTATGGTGGCCAATACCGTTCCATGCCTCTGTCCCCGAGGAGCCGCACCACAAACACAGTGTTGCTTTTCCTGACCTGGACTGCAGCTCTAGTAACCCCCTGCTTAGGGAGCCTGTTGACCTGTGTTAGAAGGGGAATTAAGTGTGCTTCCCTTCCCTACAGGGACCAAGTGCTTGCAGGGGAAAATAGGGGCTGTGGTACCCTATTATACCACAATGTAAGTTCAAGGGCAGCATGCTCAGTGGTCACATACTCTGATTTTGAAATTAGGTGATTTAGTTCAAATGCTTGCCTTTATGATCTCAGGAAAATTACTTAACTTTAAAAAATCTATCAGTTTCTTTTGTAATAATGGGGATAATTGTATCTTCCTGAAAGAGCTAAATGTAAATATATGCAAAGTGCTTAGCTTAAAAACAAGTTGGGCCTGGCTTGTTGGCTCATGCTTGTAATCCCAGCACTTTGTGAGGCTGCAGCGGAAGGATCATTTGAGCCCAGGAGTTCGAGACCAGCCTGGGCAACATAGTGAGATCCCATCTCTCAGAAAAAAGAAAAGTGCTTAGCTTAGTGCATCACGTATAATGAACACTTAGTAAGTGGCACCTATTATTAACAACAAAAAGAACAAAGAGTTGAATGTATAATGATGAATGGATGCTTTTAAAACTCTCCTAATGAAAACTAGTTCTGGAGCATATCTCAGTGCTAGGAATATTAGACTGTTTATAGACCTTTACTATTCAAGTTTTTGAACCTGGCAAAGCTATAATTCCACAAAAAGCAAAAGTATTTCATTCCACAGACATTAAGATTTATAGGAACACTGGGCATCTATGGACAGTCAACTAAAAAGAATCAAAGCCTGTTTCTACTTTGTGTCATAAAGAACAATAAACAAATCTAATTAAAGAGCAAAACTTTTCTATTTCATTAAAATAGTAACATATTTCCAATATTGTGGAAGCAAGTAAACCAAACTATTTACAGTGGCTGTGTAAGGATAGAATGATTAAGGCTGACTTCGTCTTATTTTCTAAAATGTCTGTAATACGTACAAATGACTCTTACAGTGAAAAATACCTTAAATTATCATTAAACTAAATTAATATGAGAAGAAATTCCATTTTATCATCATCTTAGAGATAGGAATACAATTATTTCATTTATTTTATTTCATTTTATTATTACTATTATTATCATTTGAGACAGGGTCTTGCTCTGTCTCCCAAGCTGGAGTGCAGTCAATCATAGCTCCTGCAACTTTCAACTCCCGGGATTATGCAATCCTTCTCCCTCAGCCTCTCAAGTAGCTGGGGCTACAGGCACGCACACCATTCCTGGCTAATTTGAAAAAAGTTTTTGTAAAGACAGGATCTTTTTATGTTGCCCAGGCTGGACATTTATTTTCAGTGACATTCAACTGGGCCTAAAATCTTCACACAAATGCAAAAAGTAGAGGCTGGCAGCTAAATCATGGATGGAGGGAAAGAAAATTTTAGGCTTATTTTCAGAACTGTTTTAAAATGTCAGAACCTCAGGTTGTGTTACAGGTTGGGATTCAGGATCCACGGTTTAAGAGGGTTTCACATGGGCCGGGCGCAATGGCTCACGCCTGTAATCCCAGCACTTTGGGAGGCTGAGGTGGGCGGATCATGAGGTCAGGAGATTGAGACCATTCTGGCTAACACAGTGAAATCCCATCTCTACTAAAAATACAAAAACTTAGCCGGGTGTGGTGGCGGGCATCTGTAGTCCCAGCTACTGGGGAGACTGAGGCAGGAGAATGGTGTGAACCCGGGAGGTGGAGCTTGCAGTGAGCTGAGATCGTGCCACTGCACTCCAGTCTGGGTGACAGAGGGAGACTCCATCTCAAAATAAATAAATAAATAAATTAATTAATTAATTAAAAAAAGAGGGTTTCACATGAAGAACTTGAAGAATAAGACTCGTCTGTGGGGACCATGTGCACAGGCACTGTGTGTGCAAAGGTCTTTATCATCAGAACCTCAGAATAGATGCATGCTCAGAGTTATCCTCCCATGCCCAGGATGGATGAAGCAAGACCTGCCTAACTAGTGAGGACACAAGTGCACGCCTAGCTTCTCCACTAGCCTCAAGCTGAGAAATGACGCCAACATTTTTTTACTCTCCTCCCATGTCCAATTAGCTGCCAGGCCCAGGAGACTTCATCTCTTTGTTATCTCATGATATCTCTGTGCTGGTATCTTCATTCCCATAACTGCCACCTTTCTTAGTCCTCTTTCCCTCACTCTGGGGTCACTGCAGTGGGCTCCCTGAAGGGCTGGGTCCAGTGGCCCCTCACGAGACACCCTCTGTACTGGAAGTTGAGTAATGGCTCTAAAACACCAATCTAATTATTCATTCTCCCCACCATGTTCTGGCCTCCGCATACAGCTTTCCACCTTGAGTTAGCCTGTTCATAGCTTTTCTCTGTCGAGACTATTCTCCTCTCTTTCTTCTGGCTAACTCCAGGAAGTCTTTCAAAACCTGGGCCCAGCCCACTTCTCTCAGTGCATGTCTTCACAGTCTTCCCATTCAGATTTCAGAACCCTCCTCTGCTCTCGAATCAACCCATGCAGACCAGTCTTATGGGTGCGTCATGTTGTGTTGCCATGGCCAATTCATGTCATCAATCAATGGGCTACCAGGCGTAAGCAACCTGGGGGCAGGGGCTCTGTCCTACTCCACTGTGCATCTCCATTGCATGTGCCATTCTTGCACACGGCACTTGGCACGGTTCTGATGACTTTATAAATATTAACTTATAACAACACATGATTGTTAGAGGAATGTGCAAGCATTCATTCAACAAATGGGTACTGAATATCTAGCAGGTGCCAGGTACAATTTTAGGTGTTGGGGATTCAGAAGTGAATGAGACACCCAAACTTCTTATCTCAGTGAATTTGTAACCTGTCAAGGCAAATGAATGATAAACAGATAGGCAGGCATATAATATAATGTGAGGCAGTGACAGGAGGTATAAAGAAAAATAAAGCTGGACAAAGGGATGAAATATGACAGAGTTGTCATTTTAGATGAGATGGTCAGGCCAGGCAGTCTGAGCAGAGGCTTGAGCAAAGTGAGCAGAGAGCCCCGTGGATTTGTGTGTGTATGTGTGTGTGTGTTGGGGTGGGGGGAATGGGGTGTCAGGCAAATGAAACAGCAAGTGCAAAGGCCCTGGGGCAAGAACAAACTCAGCCTGTAAAGAGCACAGCAAAGAGGCCAGAGTGCTGGAATGCAGGGTATGGGGAGGTATGCAATAGGCCTATGGGTTAGGCCAGGTAGAGTCTTTCAGGCATGCTGAGGCCTTTGGAGTTGATTTGAAGTGTGAAGGGTATTCACTGGCAGGTGCCAAGCATGACGGGTGATGATTCAACTTATCTTTTATGGGATCTATGGACTACGAGGGGCATCACTGGAAGCAGGTAGACCAGTAAGGACAGTGGTCCTGATAGTGATGATGGTGACTTTGACTCCCCAACCATGGCAGGGAGAGGTGGGCAGACTCTGGATGCATTCTGCAAGTGGAGCAGACAGGATTTGCTGATGGTTGGCTATAAAGGATATGAGGACCAGATGACTCCATGGCTTTTGGCCAACTGGTGAACTGGTGATTTTATTTATTGATGAAGGAGGAATGGCTTGAGAGTAAGGTTGGAAATGAAGTATTCTGTTTTAAACCTTTAAGTTGGACTTGCTAGCAGGACATAGTTTTGCCTTCTATGAAATGGAGATAATGTTTATTTATAAATTTTAATGAGAATAAAATGTGATCATTTTCTTTGATGTTATATAGATAGAAGGTCTCTTTTCTTTTTTAGAGAAAAGGTCTCCCTCTGTCACCCAGGCTGGAGTGCAGTGGCATGATCAAGGCTAGGCCCACTGCAGCCTTGAACTCCTGGGCTCAATCCCACCTCAGTCTCCCAAGTAGCTGGGACTACAGACACACAACACACCACCATGTCCAGCTAATTTTTAAATTTTTTAGGAAATGAGGTCTTGCTACGTCGCCCAAGCTGGTCTAGAACTTCCGGCTTAAGCGATACCCCTGGTTAGGCCTCCCCAGTCAGTGGGATTATAGGTGTGAGCCACCACAGCAGGCTTAGAAGGTCCATTTTTTATTCACACTCAAGCTAGGGGTAGAGTTCTTTTTAAAAGAACACAAACAAAACTCCATCTTATTACTTAGATATTGCTTCACTGTACAATGGTCTCTCTCATCAAGAAATGACATTGGTAACAGACCCATTCTCTATATTTATTTATTTAACATTTATATAGAACTTACTATGCACCATGCCTTATTCTCAGGACTTTGTAAGTATTAGTGAATACGATCCTGTAAAACCCCTTGTGGTATATACCATTATTACCCACCCATTTTATAGATGAAACTATGCCGCAGAGAAGTGATTTGCTCAAGGTCCCACAGCTAGTAAATGGCAGAGCCAGAAGTCAACGCCAGTGGCTCTAGCTGTGCTCCGACCACTACTGCACATCCTCTGCTCCCTGAAAGCCTGGCCATCTCTGACATGTGACAAGCCTGTGATGTATCCAGCCCCTTGGGTCTGACACCACTGCCTGCCCCTGTGCCCAGATAGGCGTTCCTGCCTTGGTTCTTACAAAACCCCTGCTCAAAAGAAGCCTGTTAGTATTGAGGGCAACACCCCTCTTTGTCTCTCAGTCCTCCCCAGGCTGCTGCCAGCCACCCAGCACTGTGTCCTTTGTGCCTTTCTTCTAATGCCCTAGGTCAGCCTCCACCCCGCATTGCCACACACAGCTTTTTTGGTATCCTGCTCTCTCCACGCGCCCCGCCTCACTGCCAGTTGTTACAAGTTGTTTTAAACTCTTGCAAGTATCACGTTTTCCACTCGTGTTGCGGCAGACCATGTGCTACATTGAGCCCAGTGCTGAAGACAGGAGATGAACATGACCTGACCCATGACCTCTCCAGAGACCTTCAGCTAGAAGACGTGCCTTTCACTTTTTAGTCCCCTCTCCCGGCACCAAATGGGTGCGAAGCGGGCATTCGATGAATATGCATACATTTATTTAGCAAATGTTTATTGAGCGCCTACTACATACAGGGCAAGGCAGTGTGCCAGGTGCCAAGGATATGGCGGAAAACCAGACAGACGCAGAGTCCCCATGGCTCCAGAGGTGCGGGGCCAGCCTTGGCCAGTCCTCCTCAGTGCCCCCTCGAGGGCCTGGGAAGGGTGCAGGGTGGTGGAGGTGGGGGCAAGCTGGGAGAAGTAAAGGCTGCGGTAAGTGGCGACGGCAACAGGAGCCGAAGCAAGAGGCGGGCGTGGCATGTGGCCAGGGCGACGTATCCGTCTCGAAACTAGACACGAGACGCACGTGCCGCAGCGGCCTCGGAGACCCCCTGCCCCGCTGCGGCCGTACACACCACAGCGTCTACGCGGGGGCGGGCATGGGCCTAGGGGCGGGGGAGGTGGGAGGCAGATGGGAGCCCGCCAAGACTGGACTGTCTTGGAAGAAGGCGGCTGAACCGTGCGTGCGCGGCCGGAGCGGGGGCGCGCGATTGGAGCAGGCTAGCTTGGAAGGAGACCGTAGAAGTCTGCGGTTCCGTGCCCAGACTCTGGGGCCTGGATTCCAATCGCAGGCCTGTTGCTTATATATGTCACCTTGCGCAAGTCCCTTAGCCTTCATTGCGGCTCATTCACATCACTGGTAAAATGGGTTTACAATAACCTTAGGTTGCTGCGAGGACTAAAAGGGACAATACCTGGAAAGGCGTTAGTATGATGCTCAGCACGCAAGAAACGCTCCGGGAGCCGAGGTTATTATTATCGGCTGTTCGCACCTCGCCGGGTCCCCTCACCTACCCCAGGCCAAGGCGCCCACTGCTCTCTTCCAAGGGACAGGCGACTAACCTATTAGGGCGCGTCCTGCCTAGATAGATGTATTTGCTTGGTTGGGGCGGGGTTTGGAGTGAAGCAGGGAAGAGAAGGAGATGGTGAGGGCAAAGAAAGGGAAGAAGCGGAGGGGCAGGAGGCGGGCGAGGCGGCCTGGGCGGGGCCGGGGAGGAGCCGGGCTGGGCTCCCGGGGCCCGGGCGCAGCGCGCACCCGGAGCTGGCGGCGGCGGGGGCGGGGGCGGCGCGCGGCGGCCAATGGCGCGCGGCGCTGCAGCGAGGGCGGTGCAGGAACACCGGCCGCTGACAGCCAAACTCGCCAACTCCGCCCTCGTCCCCGCGGGATCCCAGAGCCTGAGCCGGCCTGGGGCCGAGGCCGCCCGAGCCGCGAGGCGAGCGAACATGGCAGCAGAATGAGGAGGCTGGCGCCGGGTCGTGGCCGCCGCTGCCGCGCTGCAGCTCGGGATCCCAGTCCGGCGCGCTCCGGGCCGCATCCTTAGCCGGCCTCCTGGCGGCCGCGGGATTATTTCATTCCCAACGGAGAGCTAGGAAGAAAGGAGACTCCCCCGCGGAGCGGTTCCGTGCTCTGGCAGGGTGTAGACGTTTGTCTGTGCGATTCGCCGGCTGCGCAAACGACGCGGGAGAGAGCCGGTCCCGGGCTGCGGCGGCGCGGCCGCGGGGATGAGCCGGCCATGGAGCGGCCTTGGCGGGGCGCACGCAGCGGACTGGCGCTGCCGCGGGAGCGCAGCCTGAGCCGGGGCTCCAGGGGGCTTCGAAGCCTCCGGCGCCCTGGGGGGGTCCCTGCCGCCGACTCCGGGAAGGACGCGAGCCCCGCGTGGCGGACACTGCCGCAGTCACCGTTCTGAGGCGCCCCGAGCTTGCTCCGCCTGCAGCTCGGTGCGCTCTGGGCACCCGGGCGCCTTGCCCGGTGCACGGCGGCTGGCGCACCGCGGCTAGATTGGCTACAGGAGCGGGGTGCAGGACTGGCTAGAGGTGGGTGTGTGCGCGCGTTGGACTGGAGATCCGAGCAGAAGCAGAACCAGGCGGCTCTGAGCAGCCATGCTTCCCGGGGTGGGCGTGTTCGGCACCAGCCTCACGGCCCGTGTCATCATCCCGCTGCTGAAAGACGAGGGCTTCGCGGTGAAGGCGCTGTGGGGCCGCACGCAGGAAGAAGCGGAGGAGCTGGCCAAGGAGATGAGTGTCCCCTTCTACACTAGCCGCATTGATGAGGTGCTGCTGCATCAGGACGTGGACTTGGTGTGCATTAACCTGCCGCCGCCCCTCACCAGACAGATCGCTGTCAAAACCCTAGGTGAGCGACCCCTACCCCGCATCCTCCGTCCCACCCCCGCCCTTTAACCTTCTCTAGGTTCCTTCCCCCCTGCCTTTCCCTCTCCGCATCCCAGAAGCTTACCCTGCATCTACGCTGCCCCGGGGATCTGAGATCCCAGATCCGACTCAGAGCTCCCTCCTTCCTCGTCCCCGGCCTTCCCCACCTTTGCGCTTCCCTCCTGCCTCCTGGCACCACTTGGACGCGCTTCCCCACGTGTGTAGATTGCAGGCTGGAGAAGGCGTGTGTTCCGGGGATCCGAACTAGGAAGATCAGATGCCGATAATAGGGGATAGGGTGCTCCGCGAGAAGAGGAAAGTTACTCCTCAGCTGTGTGTGTAGTGTCCAAGTGTGTGTGTGTGGGGGGGGGGGATGGGGGGGTGGAGGAGGGTTGTGCGCGCGCGCGCCTGGGAGAGGCGAGTGCGCGCCCAGAAACGCCTGAATAAAAGGCCGCACACGTGTGTCGGGTTTTCTTGGGTGCGATAGAGGACCTGCCCTTCAGCAGCGGTGGCGCCCTGCTAGGGTCGTTTGTTTCTTTCTGCTGTGAGTTAGTTTAGCGTGAGATTGCAGATGTTACCATCGGCTGGAATTATTTCGTCTGCGCTGGAGGCAAGGACGGTGGGAGTGGTTGGATGGGGGTGATGATGTATTAGAATGTTTTCAGAGGCGTCATAGGTTAGTAAAGACTGATTTGGTAAAACCAGGGGGTTTTAACTTTTGACTGCAGCCTCCCGGGAAATGTCTTCTGCCCCAATTTGGAGTAATAGATTTTAAATTTTTAGGAGGATGGGCGCAGTAGCTCCAGAGGCATGGATGCTTTGCATGAGAAAAGGCCCTCCCTAATCGCCTTCAGGAATAGTTTCGGAAGGCACAGTGTTGACCCGTGGGCTGGAGATGAGTTCAGGGTGCCTCACCATCTGGTCCCTGCTCCCCTCAACTCCCAGGCAGTCTGAACAATCTCTGAGGACAGAGTAGCAGCCTCTCAGCCTATGCTCAGGGGAAAGAGAAGGGCATGTTTTGTTCATCATCAGTTCTTGCACGTAACCTAAAACAATCCCAGGAAGGTTGCTTGATCTTACAATTCCAAGAAAATGAGCAGCTCACCTTTGAAAGCTGAAGTTTCTATTGGTGAGGAAAAACACAAAGCTTATAACAAGAACAAAGCTTATAACCAGATGAAGCGAATAGTAGAACAGATTAGAAGGGAGGAGCTGCGAAGGAACAGAGACAACATCCAGAAACCAGCCGGAAGTTATGTAGTCTTGGAAAGACTGTTTTATTTGTTAAAAATAGGTATGGATTCAGGGTAGGTGAAATATACGTGTGTTTTAATTCTGTCTTCGAAGAGCTATGAACAGAATGTAAAACTCTTTCTCCATAGAAAGGCATTTTCATCAGGCCATTTGGCTATTGACTCAGATGCAACATCTGATAGAATTCCTAAGGAGGCTGCCCACATTGTCAGTTTTAATTGTCAGTTAATTTTATTAAGTGTCTGCCCTTTGTGGCCTGTTTCTTTGGCCTTGAACTGAATGCCATTGAACTGAATGCTAATATTTATTTTCTGTTTAATGGAACATGTATGTTGGGTGGATAACTCCCTTGTTTACATTGGCTCTTTGCATATCAAATATCTTATAACGATCTTATGGTATAATTCTATTAGTGCAATTTGTACAAAACTGGTCCCTGATGAGCCCTGCGTATACTGGAGAGCTTAGGACTGGTCATATCTGAAAGACCATGTTGTTAACATCGTTTCTCCACCATAAAGATGGCAGTTCCTGTCCTGGGTTCAGACCCACAGAGCAAACCTAGAGCAGGAGGGTGGCAATTTGGGGAACAAGGATGACCTTGTTTTCTGGCTGTCTCTGGGACCATGGCCATGAAAGTGTCTGGGGGCTCTGGTTTCAAGAGATGTGACACAAATTAGACATTTCTGGATACTTCTTCTGTTCTTATTTTTCAAATATCCCTGTGACTTTAATTAACAAGACATGTCTGTTACCTCTTCAAAACCAGCGATAAGAGGCATAATAGACCTAGTTTAGTAATGGTGATGACAGAATAGGGTTTTGTTCATGTTTTTAGGGTAGGTTTTGAGCTTCTTTCTTCTTTCTTTTTTTAACTCCTTCTTTTGCAGGGTGCCCCTGCGAGTGCACAGTGGGGTGGTCGTCTTGGTTTGCTTTACAGTCACTGTTGAAGGTTCAACACATAGAACGTAGGAAGTGAAAAACCCCAAACAGTTATCAGGCTGATCTGGCTGTTGGGAGTGTATAGATACGAGTGTTTGCCTGGAATTGAAACTAGCTACTTTGACTCATCCTGGTAAATTGTCCTTTTAGCAAAGGCCTGGACTTTGAATTGCTTGCCCAGTGAGGGTGACAGGTCTGTAGCCTTCGATCCACACTCATAACTGGTCACAGGCCTGTCAAAGTAAGGGGCTAGGGACCCTACTTTGTAGGGACCCTACAAAGTGTGGTCTAGGGACCACAGTGAAATGAAACTTCAGATCAATTGAATCACACACATCCTCCTTTAATTTTTAAAAATTTCCTCAAAATCCCTACCTTTGTGAATGAGGCATTCCTCTGTTGTAGAGGCATTTCTACCAAGTGTACTTTCTACACTGTCCAAGGCTGCCTCTTATTAAGTACATACTGTATGCCAGGCAGCATGGTAAGTGCTGTGTATAAAGCATTTCATTTCATGACTAAAATAATCCTCTAAGATAGATATTAGCTCCATTTCACAAATGAAGCAACTGAGATTCAGAGACCTGAGTCACTTTGCTCCTAGACCTACAGCTAGAGATTTGAACCCAGCACTCTACCTCCCCCGGAGTCATTTCTTCCTCTTCCATCAGCTGTACCTGTTCCTCTGCCATAGATCATGGCAGCCCAGGTCAGACTGTTGGAGTTGTCCTTTATTCCATCCCAGCCCTGGAATCGGTTCCCAAACCTGTTTGATGCCATCTGAAACTCTCTGTGTCTGTTCCCCATAGAAGTCAGGTCCTTTCGTAGTTTCTGAACTAGGTTCCAGTCCACCCCACCCAACCCTGCCTCTAGCCACTATCTACACTGCTGCCAGGTATGGAGTATCTGGCAGTGCTAGAGACCTGGTCATGTCATCGTTTCCCCTTTCAGGAAAAGCCCCAGCTGATTGGCGTGACATGCCCAGCCTCACATCCTGAAGAAGTGAGCCCAGCCTCACGTCCTGGTGGCCATTCCCGAACCCAAGGGCTTCAGCGAGCCCACCCTGCTGGGGTTTCCTTGAATGGGCCCTGTTGGCGCACATGTCCAGGTCTCTGTCAGGAACTTCCTTGTCCCTTGAGGTCTCCTTCCATGTTCGCCCTTCAATACTCAGCCCAAGTGTTACCGCTTCCTCTCCCTCAAACCCCCCACCCTACATACCCTTCTGTTGTCTCAGCACTGTGTGCCCCCATCTTGCCTAGCACCTATTTTAAGGCATTCATTTAACATTTAAATTTTATTTAGTTATTTTGAATTGGCTATATATTCATGTGGTACAAATTTCAAATGCTATAAAAGTACACAGTGAAGACTGAATGTCCCCTAGTCCCTGTCTTTGGACAGGAGGCAATCATTATTACCAGTTGTTTATGTCTCCCATTCAAGGCCATATATATATGTATATATAACACATAATATATACATATATTTTACATATACACTAATATATAGATGTATATATAACATAAAATATATGCATATATTTTACATAGAGATACACAAATATGTGAAACTCTGAATGTGAAAGTATTAAAAATAATATATATTTTTCAAGGTATATCCTGGCAAGTATATGTATGGGAATTTAATTTAATTTAATCTAATTTTATTTTATTTTTTGAGACGGAGCCTCGCTCTGTTGCCCAGGCTGGGGTGCAATGGTGCGATCTTGGCTCACTGCAACCTCCACCTCCTGGGTTCAAGTGATTCTCCTGCTTCAGCCTCCTGAGTAGCTGGGATTATAGGTGTGTGCCACCACACCCAGCTGATTTTTGTATTTTTTAGTAGAGATGGGGTTTCCCTATGTTGGCCAGGCTGGTCTCAAACTCTTGACCTCAGGTGATCCATCTGTGTTGGCCTCCCAAAGTGCTGGGATTACAGGTGTGAGCCACTACGCCTGGCCTGTGTGGGAATTTTAAAAACCTTTTACACAGTTGGTAGCATGCCATTCATTCTTATGGACCTTACTTTTGTCATGCAACAATATTAGCTTGAAAATTTATATATGTTAAAATTTAAATATTATTTTAAAAATATATTAAATGTATTAAATTTATTACATAAATTTTATATAGTAATATAATCAATGTTAAGCAATATAAATATTAATATAAATTATATTTAATCAGTTAATATGCATTATTAAATTTATGTATATTTATATCTTTACATATACAGCATATACATATACACATTTGTATATATACATATATTAACATATTTATAGATATACATGTATGCACATTTTTATATATATTACAATATATAACATATAATATATACATATATTTTACATATACACAAATATATGAAACTCTGAATGTGAAAGTATTATTGCTCCTATTTTTGGCTACCTAGTATTTCATTGTATGGATACATCAAAATTTATTTAAGCAGTTCCCTGTTACTCAACATTTAGGTTGTTTCCAATTTTGGCTTATACAACCATGTAATGAATAATCTTGAGCATATGTCATTTTGCACACATGCCAGCTTGTTTGTGGGATAGATATGTAAATTGCTGGTCAGAGAGTACATGCTGATTACATTTAACAAAGATATTGCCTAATTAACTGGCACCTAAAATGACACTGTATTTTTTGTTAATTTCCTTGTTGCCTCTCCCAGCAAGCGTCTTGACGGTCAGGACGCAGACAAGGCAAAGAAGCCTCACTCACCTTTGTGTCCCCAAGCCAGCCTGCCTGGGTCCAGTCTTGTTTCTTATGCAGTCTACTCTGTACAATGGGGAAAGTGAGCACATGTGCACACGTGTGTGTGTGTGTGTGTGTGTGTGTGTGTGTGTGTGTGTAAGGTATCACTCTCCACTTTCAGTGGCTCCCACAGCACCTAGAATAACATCCAAGCTCCTTGGCATGACTTTCTTGGCCTGAAATGGCCCTGCCTTGTCCATCTCTCCCACTTCTTGGATGGCTTCACACACTCCTGGACTCTATATTCCGGCCACCTGGCCTCTTTTCTGTTCCTCACATGCCAATCTCTTTCCTGACTCTTGGCCTTTGCACCAGCTCATCCCTTTGCCCAGAAGGTTCTTGCCTCACTTTTTGGAATGGCTAGCTCATTCTCACTTTCAAGTCTCAGCTTACGTGTTACTTTGGGCGAGAGGCCTTTCTGGATCCTCCCCTCCCAATTAGAAAGTTCTCCTCCAACCTCAGTCCTGCTTCTGTCATCCTCTTTCTCTTCCTGGTAACACTCTTCCTGGTGTGTGATGATCTCTTTCATTTGCTTGCTTGCTTTCTTGCTTGCTGTTTGTTTCCCCAGCTAGAATGTGAGTTATTTCAAGGTAGGACCCTTGTCTGCTTGGTTCACCAGGGTACCCTTATCTCCCTTAGACAGTGCCAGACACTTAGTCACCTAGTAGACACACTATGAATATTTATTGAATGACAAATGAATGCATTTTCACTGAATACATGTATGCCTGGGGGAAGGCAAAAGGTTCTAAAGAGAATGTGTCAATTAACACATAGTATTCTTATCCTCCTGCATGCAGTAGCTGAATGCCTCTCAGACTTTCATGTGTGGTTGTATCACCTGGGGATCTTATCAAAAAACAGATTCCAGGTCAGGCACAGTGGCTTACACCTATAATCCCAGCACTTCGGGAGACGGAGGCAGGAGGATTGCTTGAGCCCAGGACTTCGAGATCAGCCTGGGCAACATAGTGAGATCTTGTCTCTAGCCAGGCATGATGGTGCATGCCTGTAGTCCTAGCTACTTGGGAGACTGAGGTGGGAGGATCACCTGAGGCCTGGAGGTCAAGGCCCAGATCATACCACTACACTCCAGTCTGGGCGACAGAGTGAGACCCTGCCTCAAAATAAAATAAAAACCAGATTCCTGGGTGGGACCTGAGATTCAGAATTTCTATCCAGCCCTCAGGCAGTGTGGATGCTGGAACAGTCAGACACTAAAGATGAGATAGCTCTCTGCCTTTGGGAACAGAAGACATACCCTCCTGTGAGTAATTAACCTGGCAGGGGAACCGTGCTAAAATACCTGTTGCCTTGTGTGGAATGTGATGACATCTGTTTTCATGATCTCTGTTTTTGAGACAGCAGTGCAGACTCTCTTGGTGAAGTTTCTCCATGGGAGTGCAAGGCTCTTTTGGGATGGTGAGTAAGGCCACAGGGTTTCCATGAGCTTTGATCTTGCTGCACATTGATCTTGTCCCAACTTGTTTGGCGTCATCAGCTGAGGACCTGGAGCAATTGGCCCTTTTCTGTCCTTCTTCATGGTGTCAGCAGTTGCTTCATGTTGAAGAGGGCTGCCAGGAACAGAGGTGAGGGAGCAAGGAGGAAATGGGGTTGAGAGAGGATTTTGCTGGCCAGCATTGCCACGCCAGCGGAAATAAGGCTGCAGATAATGCTCATGATGCACTTGGACTTGACAGCAGCCATTCTGACATCCTAGCAAACCCTGCATTTCCAGTTCTTGCTTGAGGTCTCTTCTGGATCTATGTGAAAAAGGTGATTGCGTTTTTCTCTTTGGGTTCCTGCCCCTGAGCACTGAGTGAAATGATTTTTGGTCTATCAATTTGTCGTAGAGCCGAGGAAGCCCTTGGGCATTATTGTTAGGAAAAGTCAAGCATCACCAATCTCATTTCATCTAATTGAAATTAGGTGCAGTTGAACGATTATTTTGTTGAGGATATCTGGCTTTGATAATGTGCAATTCTGCAGAAGTTTCCACTGGAGGGAGAAGAAGCTAAATGAAGAAGTTGGACATTTTGATACCTTAAACTGGGGAAGAAGAGCAACAACAAAAAGTGGAAGTCAATAGCATGTTTTAAGGGTTTCACCAAGAATGAAATATACAGGCACTTAGTTATATATTTGACTCAGGGCAATCATAGCCCAGGAAAGAGCATCATTATATAAGATGTTGTGCTTCATAACACTCATCAATGAAAGGAAAGGTTGACAGGTTACTACTGTGTGACTTTGGGAGTCATAATCATCCTTCCTGAGCCTCAGTTTTCTTACCAATAACACACAGCTAACACTATCATATAGGGTTGGTGTGATAAGTAAAATGAGAGGGAAAATATAAAGACCTACCTGGCAGCTGCCCTCAGCTCTCTGCATCAAGCTCAATAAACAGTAGTTTTTACTTTGCCCTAATGCAGTTAGTTCTTTTTAAAATTTTTAAAAATTTTTAAGTGAGTAGTTCTTTAGACTCTTCCAAATGGTGCTTTTGAAGATTTTTTAAAACTATTTTTTGAAGAGATGATTCCCTCCTGTAAGACTCAGAGACTATATTTAAATTTTTTCTTTTTTTTTTTTTTGGTAAAGGGATGGTACCTAAGCCAAGCTTCAGGTGTCATATTTGCTGTGAATCCAGTACGTGCTTCACAGCTACGTGATCACTCAAAGGTACTGATGGGGTTACCAAGAGCTCACCATGCTGCTCTGAAGATTTACTATCCCTTGCAGTGGGGGTGCTTAGGGGGGTTTCCCACATGACGCAGGAACAGGGCTGCAGCAGGGCTTTAGTAGATACCTGGAAACCAGAAACCCTCTGAATTTTATTCTGCTTCTCTCTGTGTGTCTGCTTCCTCATTCACCCCTCTCTACACCAGCATCCTCTGCTTCACAGGTTCATGTGGTGGGTGAAAGATTGTCCACACGCAGCTCCCAAATATGAACATGACAAGTTCAGCCACCTGAAAGGTGCAGCCCTGCCCCCGCACCCAGCTGTCTCTGTTTGTACCAGATGCTTTCTCCCTGCTCAGTCTTTCCTGTGGTTACCCACGGTGTGGGGGATACATGACCAAATGCTGCGGAGACCACCCTGCTGGAGGGGTGGAGGGATTGTTAAGAGCAGTCATTCTGATCTGGGCTGCACTCTCCAAGAAAAGTGCTGATTCTAAGAATCTAGATGGTGGAAGTTATTACAAATATGGACATTTCGGCTGGGTGTGATGGCCACGCCTGTAATCCCAGCACTTTGGGAGTCCGAGGTGGTGGATCACCTGAGGTCAGGAGTTCGAGACCAGCCTGGCCAACATGCTGAAATCCTGTCTCTACTAAAAATATAAAAATTAGCTGGGAGTGGTGTTGTGCACCTGTAATCCCAGCTACTCGGGAGGCTGAGACAGGAGAATCGCTTGAACCCAGGAGGTGGAGGTTGCAGTAAGCCAAGATTGCACCATTGCACTCCAGCCTGGGCAACAAAATGAAAAAAACTCTGTCTCAAAACAAAAACAACAAACAACAAACCAAATGTAGACATTTCTTGATTGTGTAGGTTTTTTTTGTTTCTTTGTTTTGTTTTTTTTTTTTTTGAGATAGATTCTCACTCTGTTGTCCAGGCTGGAGTGCAGTGGCATGATCTCAGCTCACTACAGCCTCCACCTCCCAGGTTCCAGCAATTGTTGTGCCTCAGTCTCCCAAGTAGCTGGGATTACAGGCATTTGCGACCACGCCTGGCTAATTTTTGTATTTTTGATAGAGATGGGGTCGCCATGTTGGCCAGGCTGGTCTCGAATTCCTGGCCTCAGGTGATCCACCCGCCTCAGTCTTCCAAAGTGTTGGGGTTACAGGCATGAGCCACCATGCCTGGCCTGATTGTGTAGGTTCTTTATCCACTTTGTGAAATACACATTTGGCATTTCACTGTTTTGATAATAACCATAGCAAAACAGTGAAAGAAATAATAGATGTGGTCATCTATTAATACCAACCTAGTTATTATTATTAAATTATTATTAAATTTAAGACATATATATTTTGAAGAGTGTGATGGGAAAGTAGATAAACATGACCAACTGCATGGAGTTCTGTGGTCTTGGTAGGTTTGTAGACCTTTACCAAGAGCCTCCTGGGTAGTGTGTGCAGCAGGTCACAGGAGTGCCACGAGACATAGTCCCTTTCTGCTCAAGTATTGTCTTAGGAGCTTGAAGGAGCCAGGAGTCAGGAAAAGATTGAGGGAGAAGGATTTCTGCCTCCAGACTGCCTTTGTACTGGAAACTGCAACATCAACTCTTCTATGGGTCTCCAGCCTGCCTGTCTGCCTGCCTGCCTGCCCTGCACATTTTAGACTTGCCAACCCCACAATTGTGCGAGCCAATTCCTTAAAACGAATCTCTCATCTACACACACACACACACACACACACACACACACACACACCCCCTATTGGTTCTGTTTCTCTGGTGAACCCTGACTAATACAGATTTTGCCTGGATCAAGGCCACCTGGCTAGGCAAGCTGAGCAAGGAAATACCTGGAAGACGCGTCGGTGGAGAAACTGCTCTGGTTAGTTCCGCTGGTGGGTGTGGGCTCCCTAGGAGAGCAGCAGGCCTCTGAGCACTTGTCCTCAAAGCAGGAGACCTGGAAAGCCAGCGTTCTTTTGGGTTCAGACTTGAGCTAAGGAGATTGTTGGTAAAGAGGCTGTCACACTCACCACTGAGAGCCACAGTGACACTTCACCCCGACCAATTCTATACCCGTCTACAGGTCTTTGACTTCTAGGGTTTGGGCAAGTCTGGGATGCCTTGGGGTTTAGACTTTCCTTGAGAATTGTTGATATCCTACTGTGGAGAATTAAAAAGTGCAGGAAAAATAACTTTACATTAAAATGTTATGATTTAAAAAAATTTTCCAGTCTCTAATTTTAATAGCCTTTAGAGTATTAAGATGCTTCTTTGATTAATGTCCTTAAACTGAAACTATAAATTACTCCACAATTGTAAAGCTCCAATGAAGTTGGTTTGCAGTTTTAACACTACTTTTTAAAAAAATAACTTTATTGAACTATATATACCATAACATTCTTCATTCTTTTTATTTCACAATATTCACCCATTGTAAGTGATTCCATTATTTTTAGTAAATTTATATATTTAGAACATTTTCAACACACTAAAACATTTCCTCATGCCAATTTGCAGTCAATCCTCACTCCCACTTCTGGCTCCAGGTAACTACTAATCTACTTTCTGTCTCTATAGTTTGCCTTTCCTAGAACTTTCATATAAATGGAATCATGAAGTACGTAATCATTTGTGCTTGAGTTCTTTCACTTAGCATAACGTTTTTGATGTTCAGCCATGTTGTTGCACGGCTCAGAAGTTCATTTATCTTTATTGCTGGGTGATACTCCATTGTGTGGATATACCGCATTTTGTTTATCCATTCACCATCTGATGGATGTTTGTATTGTTTCCAGTGTTAAGTGATTGTGAATAATGCTGCTGTGAACATTTGCATATAAGTCTTTTGTGGAGCCATGTTTTCATTTCTCTTGGTTAAATACCTAGGACTGAAATTGCTCAGTTGTATAGTGTGTATATATTTAACTTTTTAAGAAACTACCAAACTGTTTTCCAGAGCAGTGGCATCATATTACATTCCCACTAGCAACATAGGAGAGTTCTAATTTTCTGATATCATCACCAGCACTTGGTATTGTCAGTCTTTTTTTTGAGATAGTCTCACTCCATTGCCCAGGCTGGAGTGCAGTGGCATGATCTCAACTCCCTGCAACCTCCATCTTCTGGGTTCAAGTGATTCTCCTGCCTCAGCCTCCCAAGTAGCTGGGATTACGGGTGTGCGCCACCATGCCTGGCTAATTTTTGTATTATTATTATTATTATTATTATTATTATTATTATTATTATTATTATTTTGAGATGGAGTCTTGCACTGTCACCCAGGCTGGAGTGCAATGGCGTAATCTCGGCTTACTCCAGCTGCCGCCTTCAGGGTTCAAGCAATTCTCCTGCCTCAGCCTCCTGAGTAGCTGAGATTACAGGCATCCGTCACCACACCTGGCTGATTTTTTTTTTTTTTTGTATTTTTAGTAGAGACGGGGTTTCACCATGTTGGTCAGGCTGGTCTCGAACTCCTGACCTCGTGATCTGCCTGCCTTGGCCTCCCAAAGTGCTGGGATTACAGGCGTGAGCCACCGCGCCCAGCCTAATTTTTGTATTTTTAGTAGAGATGGGTTTTCACCATGTTGGTCAGGCTGGTCTCAAACTCCTGATCTCAAGTGATCCGCCCACCTCAGCCTCCCAAAGTGCTGGGATTACAAGCATGAGCCACCATGCCCAGCCTTGTGAGTCTTTTTGATCATAGCCATTATAGTTGGTATGTAGAAGTATCTTGTTAGGACTTTGGTTTGCATTTTGTTAATAATAATTAATGATGTTGAACAGCTTTTCATGTGTTTATTAGACAGTCACATTTTTCTTTGATAAAATGACTATTCAAATCTCATACTCATTTTTAAATTGGGTTGTTTGTCATTTATTGATTTGTAAGCATTGGTTTTGTGATTTTCTTATTTTGTTGAGGTAGCAGACTTCACTTGGGGGAAGGCGTAGAGTTTTTGTTTTTGGTTTCATATACTTCCTCTTATTTTTGATTTTGGAACTAGTACAGCGGAACGAATTCTCCAACCCAAGAGAAATTAGTTTTGCCAAGTATTTACTGAAATGGTTCATGGAGTAGAAGAGAAAGACTACCAGGTGAGGGGTGCTCATGCCTGGGGCTCTGGCATTGCCCAGGGCTGTGAGAATCCACTGAACCCTCTGCCAGGGGCATTTCCAAGTTGAAGATTGTCTTCCAGTAGGGTTTTCTAACCACCTATTCTGCCCAGTGTCTGGAGAGTGTTTCTTTTTTTCCATTTATTTTTAGTTAGTAAATACCTTTTGAATCCCTGTAGCACTATGTTAGCTGTGGTGAGAAATGCCCTATAAAGTAAGACATGGTCTTTGTCCTTGAAAGAAGAGCGCATAGGCAAACATGGAGCAATGCAATGAGATACATGACTAAGTGCAGAGTGACTGGTTATATTCACAATGCCAGGAAGAGCTTGCTTGAGGCAGTTGAGTAATCCCTCAAAAATCATTATTGGATTAAGGGTCGATCACCTGGGTAAGCTTCCCAGTGCCAGTCTACAAAAGGCACTAAGGCAAAGGGGAAAAAAATGGCATTTTTATTTTTATTTTATTTTATTTTTTCCCAAGACGGAGTTTTGCTCTTGTTGCCCAGGCTAGAGTGAAGTGGCACGATCTCAGCTCACCGCAACCTCTGCCTCCCAGGTTCAAGCAATTCTCCTGCCTCAGCCTCCCCAGTAGCTGGAATTACAGGCATGCACCACCACACCCAGCTAATTTTGTATTTTTAGTAGAGACAGGATTTCTCCATGTTGGTCAGGCTGGTCTCAAACTCCTGACCTTAGGCGATCCACCCGCCTTGGCCTCCCAAAGTGCTGGGATTACAGGCGAGAGCCACCGTGCCTGGCAGCAAAAATGTGTTAACAGGATCCCCCTCATAAAACGTTTTGTGTGTTTGAATGAGACACTTGCAGCACAAGGGGCCCGGAAGGGGCTTCCTCTAAGAGCTGGTGAATTATTGCTTCCAGTTTACTGCTGCACATTTGTTTTGTTGAGTAGGGAACATGAGCTTGACATCAGAGATAAAATGAGTGGGGCCCCACTCGTCCCGGGTGCACTTCCCCTCTTTGGTGGGTTGCTGAGAAGGTGGCACTGCAGAGAGTGGGTGCTGCCTGAAAGCTGAGGAAAGGGGCATTCCTGAGAGCTGGAAGGGTCCCAGAAGACCTCTTGGAAAAGGTGGGTTGGTCTTCAACTGGGCCCAGAAGAGGGGGTAGGATTTAAATAATTGAAAAGGAAGACATGGGAGGCTCTATGATATAAAGTCCTCCTCAAGGAACCACTGGTTCTGCGAGATAAACTGTGTGGCTTGCAGTTGACCTGCTAGAGCAAAGTTAGAATGGTTTAAGAATGTCTGAAATTCTACAAATACTTTTCTTCATCAGCAGTAAGTGTCACTTGCATCTTTCTTTCCCTTCGTATCTCAAATGGTGACAGCCACAAATGACAGAGCTCTGGGGTCAGTCAAGGCAAACAGCTTGCTGGAGTGTTGGAAAGGACCCTGTTGAGAGGAGCCCAAATGGCCGCCTTAGAGGGCGTGGGAAGAACTGCAAAAGTTGATTCAGCTAGTAATGCTGTCAAGACAGCTCTGTGTCTGATGGAGTCAGGGGCATGCTATGGTAAACAGAGTCAGCTGTTGAGAGGATGCCTTGAAGGGTGCCCAGCCCCTGGTTTGGTGCTTACATCCGATGGTGGTGGGAGCACCTGTTCTCTTGTTATACAGTTGAGACCTGATGGTGCAAGGGTCAGGGCTGGCTGCAGCAATAATTTACTAGATGAGCAAGGATGCAATAATCTCCTTGGAGAAGGACATTTGCATATGACATGTGGACATGCCTCTCCCATCTTTCATGGTGGGTGGGGCTACAAACTCTGGATTTGTGTCACTGGTGTTTCAAATCCCTTTCTCACCTCCCTTTCTCCTCCCTTTCTCACCTGTCAGCATTCAGAAGTGAGAGCTCATGGAAATGATGATTGTGAGGCTCTCTCAGAGTAGTCTGCCATCTTGGGAGATGGTTTGAGGAAGAGGCCACAGTGGTGGAATGAATAGTTAACTCTTGACTTGGGATCCAGAAGTCAGACAACAGAGCCTTGCAAAGTTACTACGCTGGCTAGGCTTTTAAAAGATCCCTAGATGTGACAAAAATTGTCTATCTTCATTTTTTCTATTTCAAAAGGAAAAGTTCCTTGGCTAATTTGATGTCATTCTGGTGAAAGTAAAGTGATGCTCCTGAAGGCTTTTTTTGGTCAATGGAAAAGGCAGTTTGAAGAGGCTGTCCCATCAGACTTCAGAAAGCTGGAGGCACTACAGAAATGGGTGTGTGGGCACTGCCCGGGGTTGAATCCTTGGCTGGCCATGTGCTATGTGGGTGTGGGCTCCTCACTTAACTCTTTGAAGCCCCAGTTTCTTTATCTGTATAATGGGGATAATAAAAGTACCCATCTCAGAAGGTTGTTGACCTAAACAGGGCTTTGTTTAAAATGAGGACTCAATAAATATGAGAATCTTGCTTAATCAGAACTTATTATGGTGAACTACGGTCCATTTATGATTTTCCTTGAACAAAGATTTATTGAGTGCCAGCTACATACCAGATGCTCTCTGGGTCTGTGCTATGCAGTATGGTAGCCATTAGCCACATGTGGCTGCTTAAATTTACATAAAACTAAATAAAATGAAAAATGCAGTTTTGATGTGGTTTGGCTGTGTCCCCGCTAAAATCTCAACTTGAATTGTATCTCCCAGAATTCCCATGTGTTGTGGGAGGGACCCAGGGGGAGTTAACTGAATCATGGGGGCCGGTCTTTCCTGTGCTATTCTGGTGATAGTGAATAAGTCTCACGAGATCTGATGGGTTTATCAGGGGTTTCCACTTTTCTGTCTCCCTCATTTTCTCTTGCTGCCACCATGTAAGAAGTGCTTTTCACCTCCCCCCATGATTCCGAGGCCTCCCCAGCCACATGGAACTGTAAGTCCAATTAAACCTCTTTTTCTTCCCAGTCTTGGGTATGTCTTTATCAGCAGCTTGAAAACAGACTAATACAGTTTCCTCAGTTGTCCTAGCCACATTTCAAGCACTCAAAGGCCACATGGGGCTGGCTGGTAGCTACCATATTGGACCATGCAACATAGAATATATCCATCATTGCAGAAAGTTCTACTGGACAGCATTAATGGATATAGCAATGGGTAAATCAGTCACTTATGTGAGATCCAAACATGGATTTTTGAGCAACCCCAACCTGTGGGTGTGTTTCATTTTCTCCTGGGAATGTGTTGATAGTCTCCACCTTGGGCTATGGGTGTCTCAATACTAATTAGTAGAGGTTTAACAAGGTCTGGGTGCTGCTTTCTGGATTTATTAGTAAGGACTCTATTATTAATGAGAAGAAGATGTGCTGTGGGAAGTTTCCTAAATTCTTTATTAGACATAGGGACTGAGCAATGAGATAAATGACAGTGCCCCTCCCTGCTCCACCCGCCTTCCCTCAGGTTTATTACAGGACTTTAGGTAGCAGATGGCACGGACCTGGGTGGGGTGATGCCAGGGCAGGAATTCTGCCTTTGCTCATGGGTAGCATCTTCCTTAACCCTCTCAGCCATCCTCTCGGGGAGGTAAGAAAGACATTTTCCCTCCTCAAAGCACCAAGAAGCAAAGGGTCTTAGTAGATGGCCCAGGAAGGTGGTGAGGGGAAGGAAGTATATGCCAGGCCTCTTTGTCCTGCAAGAACTTTCGAGAACACCTGGCAGCTAGCTCCTGAGGACCTGGGCCAGGGGGAGGAATTTTGACTTCAGAGTAAGGTGCTTTCTGCCCTACTGCCAACATGCTGTGCAGTTCCATGGGCAATGGGGTTTCCGACTTTATTCCTCCTCTCTCCACTCCCTTGTCCTTTCCTTCAGCCGAGGGGAGAGGCTACATAAATACTGAAGCATGAAACCTCAACTAATACGTACTTACTGTTTTGCTAATTATTATTGCTTTTTTTTTCTTTCGAGTCCCATTAATGTTGTGAAAGCCACATCCATCTGTGTGAGCAATCTTTAGGGAACTGGGACTGCTAAGTTCCAGCTTGTGGGGGCTTGGAGGGAGAGGTAAGTGTGCATTTGTGAGAGTGTGAGTGCACACACACTACAGTGTGCTGCCCACAGAATGTCTCTTGACTGTAGTCAAGGGCAAAGTAATGATTTTAGAGTACTTGTTATTTAAATGTGTCCCTGGCAGGCTCTTCTTATCTCCCACATGAATATGAATAATCAAAAGTGGGTGGTAGAAAATGAGATGTGTTCCTCTTCTCTGTCTCTTCTCCCTTTCCAACAGAACCAGGACATCAGAGGAAGAAAATCAGCAGACAGAAAAATACTGGGGAAAAAAAAATGCCACGTGGTTCTGTTCAGCTGAGCTTCTGCTCCCTCCAGCACCCCCACATGGGACATTTGTTTACCCCCCACGATGCTGCTCTTGGAGAGTCCCAGGGGACAGGTTTCAAGCCCTTAGGGATGCAGCCTGTCTAACTTAATATGCACAGCCGTTCACATCCAGGGCACAGAGGCAGCCTGGCTTTCCCTGGAGGCCCACGGGGACCACAATGCTGCATTTGTCTGTGGAACTGAGATTTAGCTGCACATTCTTGCCTGAATGCAGCGGGCCTCCAGCCACAGCCTGCTGGCATGGGGGATTCCAGGAGGGATGTGCTTCATGAGCCGGCAATTGCCCTTCTTTCCAGTCCCCAGACCCAGTCAAGATTACAGATAGATGCGTTCATCGCGCGCAGGTGCTGGGGAAGCCAGTGGGACATCACTGGCTACATTCACCAACAGGATTTTCCAACTGCAGTATTTATCGGTTTTTCAAACGAATTCAACATCTGTATTCCTCACCCATTTACTGAGTGGCTACAATGTGTAAGGAAATATTCTCAGTCATGGGGAGTTAGAAAAGGTCAAAGGCATATAAGATATGGCATGTGCTCTGAGAGAACTCATCATCTATCCAGAACCTACTCATCACTTTTGGAAAGAGAAGAGAAACTAGCATTCTATGGAGTACTTACCATGTGCCAGATTTGGTGTGAGACATAGTACGAGTGTTACTCATTTACGTCTCATGGCCAACCTCCAATGTGGACATTTAGCATCTCCATCTTACAAGTGAGAAATTTCACTGTAGAGAGGTTAAATATCATGTGTCATTGATTCTGTGACATGTATTATTTTCACATTTGAACATCTGAAATATAGATATGTCTAAAAGGGCTTTTCTTTCTTGGTAGTAAGATAACTGTAGGTCTTTGCAGTAGTGTCTTAGATTATGTGAAATATGGTATTTTGGCAAGTGTACATGGCTAAGAACAAGTGGAATCAGAATTCAACTTAAGTTTGCTTGACTCCAAAGCTTATGTGTTTTCCAGTATAATGTGCTGCAGTATCAATGGTCTGTATGAACAAAGGCCATATCATTTTTATTGACAAAGTATAGAAACGGGGAAATGGTGACTGAACTGGAACTTGCATCATCTAATTCCATAACTGAGGAGACAATAGCCTGGGGACTGCATGTATCCCACAGGATGTTAAAAAATTGAGAAAATGTTATTTCATGATCTTCACTTCTCTGTTGATTATAACTTATTTTTGAAGAGGCTAAAATAAATGGCAAACTCTTGTATGGATAAGATATAAAAGGCGAGTGTGATGTATTCCTCCATCTGTTCTGGTGTGCTCCAGGCTGAGTGTGGTGCTGTTACCAACAGGGATTCTTTAGGGGATGTGACCAGTGGCCTCTTTACTGTTCTGGAGGGCCATAATAGGAGACACAGGCCAACTCCCTCTCCTACATAACTGAGTTCTGGGAAGTCCCCAAGAGCAGGCCCATGTGTGTTTATTATTGTCACAATGCCCTGTGGCCAGCACTTGCAGAGAAGAAGCAAGGTCTGTTGAATTCCACGAATGACCTGGATTCAGACAGCAGTAGCAAGGGCTCCATAGGGGAGGAAAGAGCTGATCCTGCTGCTGGCTTTTGCACACCATAGGCTTGATCTGCCTGGCTCCCATATGCTTAAACACATTTGGTTCCATAATGGGCTTTGATTAAGTCATTTTCCCAAGCAGCTGATGTGAAAAGCAGAGAACTGGAAGGGGGATTGGTCAGGGGGGCCTTGATATCTCAGATGGGAGGCTGTGGGGAATAGTGGAAAGAGAACACTGCTGGTAATCAGAACACCCAGGACAGGCTGGAAGCTCCCTCTCTCCTAACACCCAGGGGAAACCAAGTCTCAGAGGAACTGAGTGGCTTATCCAGGTTGTCACAGCTGATCACTGACAGCTAAGTCAGGACCAAACCGAGGTCTCTGCAGAGTTGTGCCTATTACCTTATGAGGTTGTTTAATCACTGGGGAACTGTGCTTTTCCAACAATGAAGAAAACGAGGCGGTTGACTTCTTGGAAGTTTCTGAAGGAAATAACCTAAAATAACAACAATGAAAACACCTACATGCACAATAGTGTTCAGTGAAGCCTTATTTGTGATTACTGAAACACTGGAAACAACATAAATGTTCCACAGTAGGAGAACAGTTAGGTAAATATGATAAATATAATTGATAAAATACTAAATAGCCATTAGAATTATGTGTAGGAAGACTAGCAATATAGGAAATTTTCTTATGATAATTTCCTATATTTTAGGTAAAGAAAAAGGACACAGAAGCATTTGTATATTATGATGATAGCCTTGTTTAAAATCACACACACGCACACACACCTAGAAAATTAAAGTCTAGTAAGGAGCCCAAATCCTAATGATGCTTGTTATCAAATAATGGGATTATAAATTTTTTTCTTCTCTAAATTTCTTGTTTTAAAAAAATATCATAATGAAAAAATATATTTTTCAAAAGAAAGAGACAATAAGATGGGAAAAAATGGTTTGGTTGGGGTGACTCTCCAGTTCTTATATTCTGTGATCCTTTGGCTCTGGACTGGCTGTTCCCAGCTGCAGGTACTTGTTTTTCACAGGGCAAAAATGAGTTTAGCCTTGGCCAAAGGAAAAAGGCAGTCTTCTAGGAAGTGGAAGTGGTTGAATAAAGGTCTAGGGACTCTCCCGTTGTTTAGGAGAGTAATTGGGCATGACTCTGAATTTGGGGAGAAACCATAGACTCTTGGCTGCAGGGTAATTTATTTGTATTTCTAACCTTGTGTGCCCAAAACCCAAACAGGTCAGAAACAGCTGGAACAGTCCTATCATTTTTCTCTGCCTCCTGCATTTGCCCCAGGGTGGGAAGTGAAGCTCTTGTTGGCTTCATTCAGCCTTCCAAAGAAAATGCGCCATTCAGCCTTCCAAAGAAAATGTACAATTGCAACATTTCCATTTTTTATTTCCCCTTTTCTTTGCAGGCAGGTTTCTTTTCAGTCAAACCTGTGTTGGTATAAATGGTTAGCAGTTTTAGAACCCTGGGCCTGAGAAAATTCATCACCATCTGCTTGAATCTCTTTATGGGCTGTGTGTGTGGTGGTGTGCAGCCAAAAGGGTGTTGGCCAGAGAGCTGGACAGGCGGTTCTTGTCCTGACACCATACTAATTAGCGGTGTGACCTTGGGCAAGTGACTTCACCCTGCTAGACTTTCATTTCGTTACCTATATAACACAGGCACCAGAGTCAATTTTTAAGAGTTCCTTTTAGCTCCCACCTTTTATGTTTATTCTAATAACTCACTTTAAAAGCTTGGTATTGACTTAGCCAAATTATTTAATTTGGTAAATATTTTTATGTGCTGTTTTATTATGACTGCTGTCATATGGTTGGTTCACTTGGCTTCTGCTATTGCTTCTTTTTTTTTTTTGAAATCAGTTACACAAATATACACAGCTGTCCTTTATACCAGAAAGCATTCTTTCTTTTATCTGTAAGGGAGGAGATGTATTCCAGGGCAAAGTAGCATGGCTCATTGTTGGTTAGTGGGACGGCTGCTTGCCAGTAGTGTGTGTGTATGTATACGTGTGTGTATGTGTGCATATGTGTATGTGTGTGCCCATGGGTGTGTGTGCACATCTGCCCAATGTGTCATGCCTTGTTTTTTTCCCCTCTTTAATGGCACTGCTGAGAACACATCTGCATGAATAACTGCTAATACCAACTGTCAAGCTAGCAAAGCAGTGGGGTTGGGTATAATTTTCTAGCATAAATTTATCAGCACAGTGGGCGTTTGGGGTTAGCTCCTTCTGCAGATGCCTCGTGAAGCAGGTTGTGGTCCACTGCACCAAGGAAAGATGTAGTTTTGCCAAAGAAGAAGTACTGTGCCATCAGCAGCAGATCAAGGGGATATTATCCATCCCAAGCAACTGCAGGTCAGAAATTGTATCATGGACAGTTCACAGGAGGCCACAGGGAGGGAGGTGATTGAGAATGTCACCCTGTCACACTTGAGTCACTGGCGGGTACAGCCACTTTTTATGTGGGTGCCTGCCACTGACAGGCTCCCTCGGCATGTAGTTACCCTTCTTCAAAGGTAGAGGATGTGACATTAGTAATCTGTGTGGGTGGAAAGCCTGTTGTTACTGGTCATAACCCTGATGGAAGAATTAGTGGACCTCACCAGGCCAGTATAAATGTAAAACCCAGAGAGGGTCTTGAAAGGAAAAGAAATCTGTTTACTTTACTTCTCTCATCTTTTCTGTCTATTATCTTCTAACTCAGATCAAAACTCCATGCCATATGGCAATAAAGAGAAGGCACTATACCATCATCTTGTACCTTCCAAAGAAGTGACATAACCAAAGCATCCCAGGATTAGCAGAGAATGAAGGAGCCAGTGGAGACTTGCCTGTATCCACATGGGACATTTTTGGGTCCTCCGAGATCAGAGGTGGCACCCATCTGCCCTAGCAGTAACTTTACTCTTGATGTAAATTTGTCAAATTTGGTGTTTGACAGTCATTTTAAATGAGAAGTGTTCCTAAGATCCAACCTAGGCTGAGTCATTTCTTTTATTTCTAGAGAATCCTGCTGGTTCCTCCCTACAGAGGAGATATTTGGTATGATGACAGTTTCCTGTGTCAGCTGGGTGTTGGATGACCCAGGTTTCATTATAAATGTGCTGATAGTGCACATGGATCTTTTTCCTCTTTCCTTAAAACATTTTTAGGGAGACAGGAAACCTTGGTAGGTTTCTCATTCCTGATACTAACTCACTTTATGACCTTAACAGGGGTCCCTCAGCTTCACTGGGCTCAATTCTCCTTCTAAGACAAGGGGTTTGTTACGGTGGTTCTCAGGCTTGACTATGAGTTAGGAACACCTGGGAAGGTGTCAAACATCCTGAAGCCCAGGCCGCACCCCAGACCGGTTACATCAGCGTCTCTGAGGGTAGGAACTAGGTATACATGTTTTTTAAAGCTCCTCAATGTTAAGAAGCACTTGTTTACAGCAGTGCTGCTTAAATTTTAATGTGCGTGTGAATCACCTAGGCATCTGTTAAAATGCAGATTCTGATTCTGTAGGTCTGGGGTGGAGCCTGAGATTCTGCATGTCTAGCAAGCTTCCAGGGCATGCTGATGCTGCTGGTTCATGGACCAAGCTTTGAGCAACAAGATTTAGAATCTAAGCTTTAGATCAAGCTTGTCCAACCCCTGCCTGTGGGATGCATGTGGCCCAGGATAGCTCTGAATGCAGCCCAACACACATTCATAAACTTTCTTAAAACATTATGAAAATTTTTTGCATTTTTTTTTAGCTCATCAGCTATTGTTGTATTTTGTATGTGGCCCAAGACAATTCTTCCAATGTGGCCCAGGGAAGCCAAAAGATTGGACACCCCTGCTTTAGATGATCAATTAATGATAGTACAAAGCTTAGTAATTGTTTGCAAAAATGTGGCACAAGAAATATACTATGAGAATGAGCACAGAAGAAGAAGCAATTATATTTGGCAGAGGAAATCAGGTGTGGCTGCACAGAGGAGGTAGCATTTCAGAGAGCCTTGAATGACGAGGAAGGTAGTAGTCAAGGAAACTTCTGTTTCTTCAGAGAAACAGAACCAAAAGGATACACACACACACACACACACACACACACACACACACACACACACACGGAAAGAGGAAGAGAGGGTGCAGGGAAGCCCTGCAGGGTAGACCTGGCCAGTGGGCTAGAGACCTAAAGAAAAGTTAATGTTGCAGTTCAAGTCCAAAGCAATCTGCTGGCGGAATTCCTCCTCTTCAGAAGAAATCGGTTTGTTTCTTGTAAAGCCTTCAACTGATTGGATGAGGCCCAGCACATTATACAGGGTGTCTGCTTTACTTAGTATCTACTGATATAAATGTTAATCTCATTTAAAAAATACTTTCACAGGAGCATCCGGAAAAGTGTGTCACCCAATATCTGGCTGTTGTGGCTTAGCCAAGTTGATATATTGAAATTAACCATCACAATGAGGGAAAGAGTATTTCAGTTTCTTCTGACCTCTAAGAACTATAGAACTATAGCTGGACAGGGAGGAGCTTGTGGTCCTAGGGAGCAAGAATGATTTCTGGACACTGTTGACATTCTAACAAGTCTTCGTTCTGTGGTAAGGATAGAAGGGCAGGACTTCACAACCCGTAGCATGGATGCTGGCTCAGCTGTGGTCTCCCTGCCCACTGCCTTCTGCCCTTACTTGTGCTGGGGGCACTGGAACCCAGATGAACGTCTGGAGCCTTCCACTTGCCTGGCTGTGTGTCCAGAGGAAATGGGTTTACAGGGAAGAGTGCATGGAAAATCAGGTCTGCAGGAAAACCCATGTGTGGCACTGTGGAGCAGACACTTTGCCTCACTCTCTCGTGATCTGAGTCATTTGGGAAAGGGGAAAATGAGTGGGGGTAAATCACCCAAACATCTGCAGGCCAGCAGAGTAACTTTTTCTGACCCTGACTTACAGGGAGAACAAATTTTATATTATGATCCGGTATATACGTATATATGGTTTGTTTTTTGTTGTATGTTGTTTGTAAAGCCAGTGATTAAGTTTGAGGTTTGGCAGGTAGGATTTGTTTAAATTCCAGCAGATGGAACTAGAAAAGACCCATGATTTCACTGACCTCAAGACCCTGCTGGATAGATATATATTTATCTTTGTATTTATGTACTGGATCATAATTAGTGTATATAGTGTACCTATATAGCATATATATACTGTATCAGTGTTAAAAAATTTACAGATAACCTACGTATGTATGTATGAATATAAATAAAAATAAACATAAGGTTTATGACATGATGCTTACCCTTGTTTCATTGGCACGTGAAATGCTATCGTATTTTCTTTCTTTCATTTCATTAACAAGAAGAGGAAAAGCTGGCTGTGACCCACTGAACTGATTTCACCATGCTTAATGGACGGATAACTGTGGGTTAAAGAAAAGACCCACACCCCGGTGACGTGGAAAGAGCTTGTGATCTGGAGCAGTCCTGTCCATAGACGTTTCCAAGACCATGAAAATATTCTGTTTTGCGCTGTCCAACATGGTAGCCACTGGCCCCGTATGGCTACTGAGCATATGAACTGAGGCCAGTGTGAATGAGGAGCTGGATTTTAAATTGTCTTTCATTTTAATTAATTTGTGGCTCCTGTGATGGACAGCACAGATCTGGGTTGCTGCCCTGTGCCTGCCCCTAACTCGCTAATTGGCAGTGAGACCCCTTTTTCCAAGTGCAGCATCTGTAAACTGGGAGGCCAGACTCAGTCATCTCCCCAGGGGCTGCCAGCCCCACCCTTCTGCATTCCGGTGGTCTGGAAAGCCAGGCTTTGGGCTTTCAGCTGGGCATGGAGTTAATTAAGTACCCTGGGCGGTGTCACAGATAATGTGCTTTGCATTTTTAAATGCTCTTTAAGAAGCTGGGTCCTTCTTCCCTTTCAGTTGCTTAATTGCTCACCTGTATTTCTTGACAGTTTGAAAAGAGAGCTGCTCTCTGCCTCGTGAAATCTTAGCAGCCCATCTTCGCTGACTTGCTGAGCTCTGGGATGGCATTTGCAACCTGAACAGGAGATGCTTCACTTTTATCTCGCTGTTGCTTTCTTCTCAAGGATAAGAACTCTCTCAGCCGAGAGGCAGAATGTTACGAACGGAGATGACAGTGGCAGTTTGGTGCATAGGTTAACCATCGGGTTGGGTTTAGTTTGTTTTTGTTGTGTGTTGTTTGTAAAGCCAGTAATTCTGTTGGAGGTTTGGCGGATAGGATTTGTTTAAATTCCAGCAGCTGGAACTAGAAAAGACCTATGATTTCACTGACCTCAGGACCCTGCTGGGAACATTAAGGGGCCCAGGAAATGATGGGGGAGGGGTGATTTCCTCCTCACTGTCAGCAAGAAGAAAAGTAATGATAGTCAACCTTGACAGAGGAGGTGGGTTTGGCAGACTGTATCACTTGGCTTATTTGACTTCTCAGAAAGCACTTCCTTCTCCCAGGTGCTCACAGTTGACCGGACTGAAGATGAATTGGGTGTGAGGCTCACACAGCCCATTGATTTGTGCTGAGCCCAGAAGTGATCTGAGACGTTCTGACAATTCCTTGTGGCTCTGATGGGTGGGGTACAAATAGGGGCAGAAATCCTAGGAAGAACCCTAATTTATGACATTCACAAATTGGGAACAAAAATATCCATTCCCTGATTAGAATGAAGCGGTCCAAGGTTGCGAGGTCCTTGTTTGCTTCTTATTCTCTCTGTATAGAGATAATGAGGGGCATTTTAAAAAATAGTGCAATACTTTTGAAGACACACTATATCAGATCCTTCCTCACCCGCGACATAAATGCAAACCCCATGGTATTTGCCATGTGCCAAGCATCTCACTTAATTCTTACCACTACAGTCTGAGGAAGTGACTCTTCACTTGCACATGGAGAAACCGAGAGGTTAAGGACCTTGCCCAGCGTTACACAACTAGGAGCTGGTGGTGTCAGAGCTTGACTCCCAGCATTTGTGCTGTTGCGCTACTCTGCTGCCTCTCAACTTGAGGCCTGACCAGCTGGAGGTGGCCTGCTCTGCCCCAGGGCATTGGTGACTCATTGCACCATGCTTGGTACACAGGGTGCAAGTGGCGTTCTTGGTGCCCATCACTCTGAGAGGTGGGAACCCTGGTCCTCCACAATCCAGCTCTCTTGGTAGAGGCTGAGCCTGGCTCGTGTGTTTTCTGGAAAGAGCTGAGCCTGGGGTGAGGTGGGATGATGGAGAAAGAGCCTCCTTTCTCTCTGAAGTCAGAGGCAAGGAGTTCATGTGAGGGAGAGAGTGAACCCTGGTACACACCAGCTTAAGGGAAAAACACCAGCACACCACTCACAGATGCAGCTGACAGCAGACAGCCACAGAGGTGACCGGGCAATGTGGGGGCAGAGTGGTGCCACCCTGCTGCGGAGGGTGGAAGGTATGAGCTGACAGTGGATGTAAAAACAAGCGGGGGCCGGCAGCTTGGGCTCAGCCAACTGAGGCCATGGTGATGGTGACAAGTCTGCACTGGAGGAATCCCAGCTGTGGTAGTTGACTTGGGAGCCCCAGCATGTTTCAGATGGCATTGGAGCAAGGGTCTGTGTGGGGCTGGGCCTGTAAAGGCTGGATGCCTCCCTTCCCCTTCAAACTCAGTGTCCCTCCTTCTCCCTAGCAGCTCTGGCTCAATGACACTACAAAGAGGGCCGAGGGCTGCTCCTGATCAAGAGAGCAGCACACTTACTGAGGACCCACCATGCACAAGATACCCCACCAAGGGCTGTGAAGGAGACTGCAAACATGGTGAGGTGGATTCTGGGCTTCTAGGGAGTCAGTGTGGAAGGTTAAAAGTAGACAGTACACACACTCATAACCCATGCCAATAGACAAAGATACATCTTAGACAGTCTTGTGCTGCTGTAACAGAAGAGCACAGGCCAGATAATTGATAGCAAACAGAAATGTATTTTTCACAGTTCTGGAAGACTGGAGTCCAGGACCAAGGTGCCAGCATCTGGTGTCTGCTGAGGGCCTTCTTGAGGTGTCCTCACCTGGCAGAATAGGGCAAAAATTGGCAAACTCTGTGTCCTCACATGGTGGAAGGGCAGAAGAGAGTAGACTTACTCCTGCAAACCCTTTTTAAAAAAATGTTATTTTATTTTAAGTTCTGGAATACGTATGCAGGACATGCAGATTTGTTACATAGGTGAATGTGTGCCATGGTGGTTTGCTGTACCTATCAACCCGTCACCTAGGTATTAATATGCATTAGATATTTATCTTGCATGCATTAGATATTTATCCTGATACACTCCCTCTCCCCACACCCCCAACAGGCCCCGGTGTGTGTTGTTCCCCTCCCTGTGTCCATGTGTTCTCATTATTCAGCTCCCACTTATAAGTTAGAACATGTAGTGTTTGCTTTTCTGTTCACAGGAACAGAAGTTTGCTGAGAATGATGGCTTCCAGCTCCATCCATGTTTCTGCAAAGGACATGATCTTGATCCTTTTTATGGCTGCATAGTATTCCATGGTGTATATGTACCACATTTTCTTTATCCAGTCTATCATTGATGGGGATTTGGGTTGATTCCGTGTCTTTGCTATTGTGAATAGTGTTGCAGTAAACATATGCATGCATGTATCTTTATAACAATGATTTATATTCCTTTGAGTATATACCTAGTAATGGGATTGCTGGGCCAAATGGTATTTCTGGCTCTAGATTCTTGAGGAATCACCACAGTGTCTTCCACAATGGTTGAGCTAATTTACATTCCCATCAACAGTGTAAAAGTGTTCCTATTTCTCCACAGCCTTGCCGGCATCTGTTATTTCTTGACTTTTTATTTTTATTTTTTGAGATGAAGTCTCACATTGTCTCCCAAGCTGGAGTGCAGTGGCGCGATCTCGGCTCACTGTAACCTCCGCCTCCTGAGTTCAAGTGATTCTCCTGCCTCAGCCTCCCCAGTAGCTGGGATTACAGGCACACAACACCATGCCCAGTTAATTTTTATATTTTTAGTAGAGATGGGGTTTCACCATGTTGGCCAGGCTGATCTTGAACTCCTGACTTCAGGTGATCTGCCCACCTCAGCCTCCCAAAGTGCTGGGATTACAGGTGTGAGCCACCATGCCTGTAATGAGCCTCTTGACTTTTTAATAATCACCATTCTGACTGGCATGAGATGGTATCTCATTGTGGTTTTGATTTGCATTTCTCTAACGATCAGTGATGTTGAGCTTTTTTTCATATGTTTGTTGGCTGCATAAATGTCCTCTTTTGAGAAGTGTCTGTTTATGTCCTTTGCCTACTTTTTGATGGGGTTGTTTTTTTCTTATAAATTTAAGTTCCTTGTAGGTCCTGGATATTAAACCTTTGTCAGATGGGTAGATTGCAAAAATTTTTTCCCATTCTGTAGGTTGTCTGTTTGCTCTGATGATAGTTTCTTTTGCTGTGTAGAAGCTCTTTAGTTTAATTAGATCCCATTTGTCAATTTTTGCTTTTGTTGCAATTGCTTTTGGCAGTTTCATCATAAAATCTTTGCCCATGCCTATATCCTTAATGGTATTGCTTAGATTTTCTTCTAGGGTTTTTATGGTTTTGGATTTTATATTTAAGTCTTTAATCCATCTTGAGTTAATTTTTGTATAAGGTGTAAGGAAGGGGTCCAGTTTCAGTTTTCTGCATATGGCTAGCCAGTTTTCCCAGCACCATTTATAAAATAGGGAATCCTTTCCCCATTGCTTGTTTTTGTCAGGTTTGTCGAAGATTAGATGGTTGGAAATGTGTGGTCTTATTTCTGAGATCTCTATTCTGTTCCATTGGTCTATGTGTCTATTTTGATGCCAGTACCACTGCAAGCTCTTTTGATAGCAGCATTAACCCACTCATCAGAGCAGAGCCCTTGTGGCCCTGGCACCTACCGTTAGACCTCACCTCCCAACACTTTTGCATTGGGGATTAAGTTTCCAATTCATATATTTTGGAGGGCACACAAACATTCAAACCACAGCAAGATAGGACAAAATCTCTGGATCCTTTCTGCATGTGCCTTTCTTCTTGCTGTCCACCTGCCTTTGATAAACAAACACAGGCATTATCTATCAGTTACCATTCTGGCTGTTCTTTAGGCTTCTCTTCTCACTATTCCATCATCACTTCTTACAAGAAATCATGCCCCAAATGCTCTTCAGCCCCCTCTCACTTTTTTTTTTTTTTTTTTTTTTTTTTTTTGCTCAAGGGGAAATGGAGTCTTTTTGCTGGCTGCCTTAGTGACAATACCACCTGCACAAAGCACTTTCATATCAGCATATTTTTGTCCCTCTAAGGTCCCAACAACCCTATAATGCAGGTATTAGTACCATTTTGTAGAAGAGGAAAATGGGGCTTAGAGAGTTTAGGTCACTTGTTGAAGGTCACACAGATAGTACAGGAAGGGCTCTGGGACTGAAATCAAGGTCAGTGTGCCTCCTCCACCATGCGAGATCACCTGATGAGTTCAGTGGAGAGCATTATTGATTACATCTTCATTTCAAAGGGGTTTGGAAATAGTATATAAAATATTGTATAATACAGGCTGGACGTGGGGGCTTGTGCTTTTAATCCCAGCACTTTGGGAGGCCAAGCGGGGGCGGATCACAAGGTCAGGAGTTCAAGACAAGCCTGGCCAACATGGTGAAACCGTGTCTCTACTAAAAATACAAAAATTAGCTGGGCATGGTGGCAGGTGCCTTTAATCCCAGCTACTCGGGAGGCTGGGGCAGGAGAATCACTTGAACCGAGGAGGCAGAGGTTGCAGTTAGCTGAGATTGCACCACTGCACTCCAGCCTGGGCAACAGAGCTAGACTCCATCTCAAACAACAACAACAACAACAACAACAACAAAAATTGTATAATTCAAAGAGGGTTTAAAATTATGGATGAGGAAAACAGGGCAAAGGGACTAGGAAACAGTACTTTTGCATTTTAATTGTCATTAGTTCAAACATGAGCTTTTGGATGAGGTGAGACTTCTGGGTTGATGAGAAGGAATGAAATAATCCTTTTGAGCCACTGCCTCCAGGCAGAGGTCCAGGCATCGCCCTGGGACCTGTGCTGTTGGCTGGATAGAAAATGCTTCTTGATTTCAGCTGCAGGCTGCCGCTGGAACGGGTCAAGCGAATGATGAAGAGCACACTGAGCCAAGCCAGTGGAAGCCCCCAAGTTCATTTTTCTTGTAAGAACAGGCCGGCAGCCACTTTCAAAGAACATGTGTCATAGAGTCTAGTTTAGAACTGCGTTAAGGATGACTTGCTTACTCTGAATCACATCCAACTGCAGAGCTTTGTTATAGATGGTTGTTGGCACTTAGAGGGAAATACCCGGTCTCTATCAATAATCAGTCATGCTCTGGCACAAGAGAAGCAGCACTGAGTGGGGCATTATCCGACCACGTTCTAGTCGCAGCTCCATCATCCCTGGGTGTGTGACATGTCGGGATCAGTGTCTCTCAAAGTGTATCTGAGGACCACTTCAGGAGGACCCTGGGTTGGGGGTAAGAGGGAGACTCTGGGTCCTGCCCCGGAATATTGGGTGCTCCTGGTGCTGTGTGAGCCAAGTTTCTTGATTGGCTCTCTGCTTATGGCAGGCTGATTTCTCATCATCCCCAAATGTTTATTGAGTGCCTGTTATCTAGAGGGCACAGTTTGGGATATTGTAGAACTTTCTAGACACCATCCCTCCATTTTAGACTCTGGAAAATTTCAGAAAGTCCAGGTCACCTCTCAAATTCCTGGCAGGTGCCCATTTGCTTCTGGCAAGGTCTGACTCAGGATCCACAGGTGGGATTGTTTTCTGGGAAGGTTAAGCTCCTTTTGCAGTCTGTTTTCACTTTCCGTGTTGGGCAGATGTGGACCTGCTCTGCTAGCTGTGGGCTGTGGGCAGCATTGCCCATTTGCTTCCTGTTTATGAGAGAAAAGCCCCATCTTTGATTTTCCCAGGTGGGCCACTGAAATCACCTGAATGCTCTGAAACTGTCCCTGACTTCTTTGCTCAGGTGCCCCCGAGTTGTGAAGTGGCTTAGCTCAAAGCCTCCTGCAGGGCACCACAGTCTGTAGGAGGTCTCTTGTTCTTATATGAAAAGCTCACGTGAACTTTCTGTTCTACTCAGTAATGTCCCTGTGATTGTCTGAATAGGAAGGTTTTCATTCCCAGGAGGCTCAGACCTCCTGGCTCCCAAGACAGATCTGTGCGGGGCCAAGACGAGCAGCGTGCAGGCCGCCCACTCTATATGGTGCAGCCCTAGGAGGCTGTATGTCAGGACCTATCATCTGTTCAGGTTTAATCACCTGCAGTAAGAGAGCAGTCTAATCTGTCTATATATTTATTTAGATTCTTGCTTTAGTCTAGAAAGGATTAGAGGTGACCGTGATGAGTAGTTCAAAAATTAACCTGAATTTAATGGGCAAAAGAAAGTGGAATAAGCTTGCACCTGTAGTCATGACAATATTCATGAGAAATTTTTAAAAGCTAAAGGAGGCCAAGTGTGGTGGCTCACACCTGTAATCCCAGCACTTTGGGAAGTCGAGGCGGGTGGATCACTTGAACTCAGGAGTTTGAGACCAGCCTGGGCAACATGGCAAAACCCCGTCTCTGCAAAAAATACAAAAGTCAGCCGGGCGTGGTGGTGGATGCCTGTAGTCCCAGCTACTCAGGAGGCTGAGATGGGAAGATCACTTGAGCCCAGGAGGTGGACACTGCAGTAAGCCAAGATCATGCCATTGCACTCCAGCCTGGCATGAGAGAGGGTGACAGAGCCAGACCCTGTCTCAAAAAATAAAAGATAAAAACTTTAAAAAGCTAAAGGAGTCTCTTAGAAGCCTCATTTCCCTTCAACCCTCTGAGATCTTGCTTCAAGGTAGGGCTGTTGCACTTTAAAACCCACCTCTGAGACCCATGTCCTTCTTGGGATGATGGAACTTAGCCAAATGAGGAGAGAGCCCCCAGCCTGTCAGGCCTGCTGTAGCAAAATCATGCCCCGCAATCTTGTCTGAATAAACAGCAGTCAAGACAGAGGTATGCCTCTAGTAAACTCCCATCCTGTCTATTGGACAATGCTGTACCAAGAGGGCTGACGAGGCCAGTGTTAAACTGTGACCGACTGGGAGTTGAGGATGCTCCGGGTAATGAGTCCCCCTCCCTGTTAGCAGAGTTCCAGTAGGTGGGTGTTCCAGTGCCTAAGTGCAGGCAAGTCATGGGGCAAGGTGACCTTCTGTGCCTGTCATGATCTAATAGAGCTCTTTGTGTGGGTGTCTGTGCTTAATTTGGCTGAAACATTTATTTCTCTTCTGAATGGGCTTCCTTGTTTCACACAGAAAGTTGGCCCATGTGGGGTGCTGCTGACAGGCAGTAGCAGGGCGTCTGGTGGGCTACCGTTTTGGCTTAATGTTTACTCCTTTGCCTGCAGTTTTAGGCATCCCTCTGTCAAACTGTCAACCCTTGGTGAATATCATAGGATTTTCTCTTTAGAATAACCTGTGTTCGCATCCCAGGTGTTTTTATAATTCAATTCAAACCAATGACAAGGTGGCTTTCCCATTCGTGGTAGCCACCCGGCTGGGGACCATTCCCCACAGTTTCTGTGAGTCCAGAGTTGGCTTCACTCTCAGGAAACAAAATCCCTGATGGGCATCTGGAATTACCAAGGTGATTTAGTGATAGGGACTTCTAAAAGAGCTAACCCCAAGCACAAAACTCAGTTCGGGTTGGGTCAGAAACCTGACCCACCCCGCACCTCTCTGGGTGTATTGCTCACTGCCAGGCTTTGGGGCTGTTTCAGGAGGCTATGTTCTTACAGGGACAAGAGCCAGTGTGTGTGCGTGTGTGGGTGTGTGTGTTTGTGTGTAGAGCCCTGGTGTGTCAGGCACACGTGCAGAGAGATTTAGATCAGCAGACCTCAGATGACGAAACCCTAAACTCTAGCGGAAGCAACTGCATCAGATGGTGGAAAATCTCATCCAAATGCCTTTACAGTGTCTTTCAGGTTTTTGATATCAAGACAACCAGAAATTTGCTGTGAGTGACAGCCAGGAGGTGATGCTAATATCCTGGGGTCTGAAGATTCCTCCCCTCCCTCTACGAAACTCTTGCTCTGGTGTCCATTTGTGGGGCCACCTCTCTCCCCCTCTTGCAGCCCACAGAAGGACTGGGAAGCATTGACAGTGGTCCCCAGCTGCCACCTGCTGTCTGTGACTCATGCACTGTCTGTGGGAGGGTGGAGAATATCATCAGTGGGTTGCGGGGCAGAGAGTGGGAAGTGTCTGCTTTGTGGCTGATGTGTGAGTGTGGGAACATGTGTGCTCCTGGACGGGAGTGGTGGCATTGCTCATTCTGAGGAGCTGGCGGGTAGCATGGAAATGTGTCTTCACTTGGTTTTTTGGGTTTCTAGTTTCCTTTTTTCTTTTTTTAAGACATAGCTACTGAAAGGCCAGGAAGTAGGACTTGGGGGCATGCCAGTGAGTTGGAAGCCGCATTAATGTCCTGTATCTTTAGCTCTTCAGTCCAACAAAGGTGCAATTATTATGTTATGCACATGCCTTCTGCAGGATTATGTATTGGCATTGCTGATTCTAGCTAATGTCTTTTAGCAGTTTGATGGGCTTATATTAGTTTCCGGGAGTTGCCGTAACAAAGTACCATCAGCTGGGTGGCTTAAACAACAGAAATTAATTTTTTTCAGTTCTGGAGGCTGGAAGCTGGAGGTATCAAGGTGTGGGCAGGGCTGGTTCCTTCTGAGGGCTGTGAGGGAGTCTGTTCCAGCCCTGTCCTGGCTTCTGCTGGCCTGCCGGCAGTCTCTGATGCTCCTTGGCCTGAGGATGCATCACCTCGTCTCTGCTTTCATGTTCAGTGGGGTTCTGCCTGTGTGCATGCCTGTGTCTGAATTTTTCCTTTATATAGGTGGCACCAGTCATATTGGATTAGGGCCAACCCTCATGACTTCATCCTGACTAATTACATCTGCCACAACTCTGTTTCCAAATAAGGTCACATTCACAGGTACTGGAAGTGAGGACTGTGACATCTTTTGGGGAGACACAATTCAACCCATAATGAAAGCAAAAGGGGGTTTTGTGTTCCCCTTATGTGAGAGGTCATGTGATCATAGGTTATGGAGGCTGATGGCCTGGGATTGACAGCTGCCACTTACTAGCTGTGTGTCTTTAGGCAACTTGCCTGTCTTGTTTCCATATCAGTAAAATGAACAAATTTTAAAATATGGTTGACAGGTTATAATTTAATACACATAAAGTTCTTTAAAGAATACTTCGCATATTGTAGCTTTCACTAAATCTAAGTTGCTTCTGTCACTTCTGCTACTACCTCTATTTGACTTGCTTGTTTAAAGTTATGGGAATATAGTTTTATTGAGGATGCTTTAAAAAGGGTGAATTGAAAGGAATAAGGACATTGCCACCTGAATTTTTAGATTTATGTATCTTCAAATGACTCAATAATTGCTCACTCTAGGAAATCTGCAACTATGCATTGTGTTTTGAATACTGAAAAGAAATTATCTTTGAAACCGCATTTATTCATTTGATAAACATTTATTCAAGCCTCGCTGTACATGAAACACTTTGCTAGGTAGTGAGGTGCATACAAAAATGACTGTGATAATAGCTCTGGGTTTTAAAGAGCTTGCAGCCCAGTGAGAGACAGAGACATAAAGTGATGCAATAATAGAAGGTAACAGGCGTTCTTCAAAATGCTGCACCTGGATCGACCTGGAAGCAGGATGGAAATTTCAAAAGAACCCAAGGAGATAAACACAGTTCCTTATCTTCAATTCTGAATTTGAAAAACAAAACGAAATGAACCTTTGAAAATTGAATTCTTTCTTTGATAGGTTTGGTGCAAACTCAATTGCTTATAAAACCTGAGCTGAACTGATGTGAGGCAATAGTTTTATCTTCTTTCCCGGCATGTGAATGTTCACAAAGTTTGCTGAAAAACACCAGGGATGGTACGTAACATCCAGTAAATGCGTCACCAGATTCCCTTTCACATCTGGCCCAGAATCCCTGGAAAAGGGATGGTGGGACTGTCTAACTAGATATTTTACAGCCAAGGAACACTGAGCTTCAGAGGAGTCAGACGGTGTGCTCCAGTCCCAAAGCTTGGGAGCAGTGCGATCTTGTCTTTAGTCTCCTTTCATCTGGAACACTTCCACAAGCTTTATTTGTCATACAGAGTGAAGAAGCTAAGTCTGCCTGCTTGGCTCAGCCGATCCTAATGGTAAATGTTAGGCCTGCTTTGCTTACAAGTCACAGAAGCCTGCTTGAGGAGTAGACAAAAAGAGGGCAAGGTGGGCAAGGTATGATTAGGATATGGGGTGCTCTGGTTGGAAAGTTTGTATCCTTGCAAAATTTATATGTTGCTGTGAGGACACAGCGAGAAGGCGCCCCCTGTAAACAGGAAGGGAGCGAGCCCTCACCAGATGCCGAATCTGCGGGCACCTTGATCTTAGACTTCCCAACTCCAGAACTGTGAGCTACAACTGCCTGTTGTTCATAAACCACCCAGTTTATGGTGTTTTGTTATAACAGCCAGGATGGATGCCATTAGTCCATCCATTAGTCTGAAATACTTCAAGTGTGTGGTTCCTAAGAACTGGCATGTTTTCTTACATAACCACAGGAGAATGATCAACTTTAGTATTTTTAATATCGATGCAATGCTTTTATCCAATTCACCGTCCATATGCCAGTGTCTCCAGTTGACCCACTACAGCATCCTCCCCCTCTCAATATGATCCAGTCTCGGGTCAGGCATTGCATTTGATTGGATCTCATGGAGCCCCAGACAGAGCCGTGGCTTAGCCTCAGGAAGGATCAGAATCAGGGACACAGGGAACCCAGGAGTTTTCTTCCTTTGCCTCCCACCTGAGCATCTCTCTTTGACCATTCACTTTTTCTGCTTCCCAGTCCACGTGATAGAAAACAGCTACTACCCGCCAAACCTAACTTTTTATCTCCTGAATTTAAGACAGTGCTGAGCTGAACTGGAGCCTTTTAAATCCAATCCAAATCCCCATGTGTCTGCTTCCCGTTTGCATGAGGATGGAAAATTGTGGTGGTGAGTGGGGCCCTAGTCAAAGAAAACATGACATGGAACACACACATGAATGCAGTGGAAACCCTCACTCCCGTGGTGCATTTGACACAGGATCATTCGTTTGCCGACCTTAACCTGGTGTCCAGCGTGTCTTTGGGGTGAGCATTCCCAACCCTGGTCCTTGCCACCTTCTGCAATTGCTGACTTGCCCGCCTGCTCCCCTGAGATGATGGTGCATCCTGTTTGCCTGGGGCCAAGGCAAGCTGCTTGGCCTTTGGCCGCCCCTCTCCCCCAAGCTACTGGTTTCAAATTGATGGACCCTAGAGCCCCCATGCCACCACCTGCTTGACAGCTACTCGGAGGGCTTTGCTGATGAAGTCTCAAGACACCTCAAGGTGACCCTGTGTTGATCAGAGTGGACTGGCCCTGAGCCTGTGTTCTCTACAAGCTCTCGTACATCATGACTGAACTGCTGGCGATGGCTCCCTGACCTCACCAGGCCTGGTTGCACAGCCAGGCCACTCCCTAGGCTCGGGCCTCCGTGTTGCTGGTCTGTTTCCCTCCTCTCAGGCCTGTGGGTCATGGATGAGGGCCGTGGATGAAGGCCTCGTCAATGTCAAAGCCCTTCCCATGTTTGGGGCCAGTAGAGTCTGGCGGAAGAGAAAGGTTTTCAAGGCCAGACTTAGTCTGGGCAAGTCACTAAACCTCGCCACATCTGTATTCCAAGGGGAATGAACCAGATGTTCTTTCAGGGCCCTGTGGCTCTAAGAAATTCTGTGATGTCACTAAAAACTCCGGCAGGAGTTGCCCGAAGTGTACAAAGAATGAGCACCATTGCATCACATGGGGCCAGCCCAGAGGTGAGGGCTACTCTAAGGTCAAGGTGTGGTAGGAAACCTTAACAAGGACAACCAATCACAAAGCAGCTGAGGCCTGGGATTTACATACCTCACCGGAGTCTTGATTTATTCATCGTGCAGGCCCTAGGCTGCTGTCCTTATAAGGGCCTGCCTGCAAAGTTGACCCTTGGCTGGTGTCTGGCAACTTAACTGATAAACAGTTTCCTTCGCCAATATACAATTTTTCCTAAATCATAAGATGGGCTTGCTGTGCCGAAGCTGCTTGTGCAAACAGTATGATTTATACTGAACACTGCTTTCTATTTGGGAGTCTGGAATTTTGGGACATGGTAGGCAGAGGCTGCCTACATCAGCAGCCCCACGATAAGGTCCCTGGGTGATGAGTTTCTACCGAACTTCCCTGGTTGACAACACTTCACATCTGTAGCCACTGCTATTTGCTGGGGGAGTTAAGCACGTCCAGTGTGATCCACTGGAAGAGGACTCTTGGGAGCTTGGGCCTGGTGTGCTCCGGTCTTCATCCCATGCACCTTCTCTTTGCTGGTTGTGCTTCATCCTCTTTCACTGTCATAACTCTTAGCCATAGGAACAGCTGTATGCTGAGTCCTGCTACCAGATCACCTCTTACCAAACCTGGGGGTGATCTTGGAGACCCCAAACACACTCATGGATTTTCAAAGTGACTAAGCGCAAGTGAAGATAAGTCCAGTGTAATTCCCTGGTGTTAATTCATGCTACAGAGGATTGGGCCCCTCTGCCTGTGCTAAAAGGAGCTTTAGCTTAGTTAACATCTGCAACTGTGGCGTCATGATTACTTACGTCCCCCTCAGCCCCACCTAGAATCCAAATGTTGTGCTGTCCATTGAGAGGCCAGATCATTTGTGGTCTAGGGGTAAAAAATCACAGAAATCTTGGCCTGGTTTGACATTCTGGAATATGGAGGAAATTCTCAGGAACAGAATTTGGCTGGTGTGCCTTCTCACCTGGGCAGCTCTGGCAGCGTTCTTCGGAAAGAGCAGCAGCAGCATTCCTTAATTGAATGGTGGTGACAGTTCTCCAGAACCAAGTCAGGAAAGCCAGTTAGTCTTATAGAAGTTGGGAAAATTTACTGCTGGAGGAAATATTATTTGAGAGGAAGTACAAAGTCTTAACCTTAGTGTATTAGTATGTTTTCATGCTGTTGATAAAGACATATCCGAGACTAGGTAATTTATAAAGAAAAAGAGGTTTAATGGACTCACAGTTCCATGTGGCTGGGGAGGCCTCACAGTCATGGTGGACGGCAAAAGGCACATCTTACATGGTGGCAGGCAAAAGAGAATGAGAGCCAAGCAAAAGGAGAAACCTCTTATAAAACTATCAGATCTTGTGAGGCTTATTCACTACCATGAGAACAATATGGGGGAAACCGCCCCGATGATTCAGTTATCTCCCACTGGGTCCTTCCCACAACACATGGGAATTATGGGAACTGCAATTCAAGATGAGATTTGGGTGAGGACTCAGCCAAACCCTATCACTTAGCATACTTAGAGTTTCTATGAGCTTTGAATAGAAACCACATAACTTTTTCTGAATGCTTTAGGTACCCATAGAGTTCTGTTCTGTGAAGGCAGAGTTTTCGCACCCTTCATGGCAAGAACTGTGGGTCTGTAACTAAGGAGAGGAGAGTATGCACTGTCATGCTTGGCTGTCGCATCATTTATGGACCATGAGAATGCAACAAAGGCTGTTCTTTGTTTTTCTTTGAGATAGGGTCTCCCTCTGTCACCTAAGCTGGACTACACTGGCACAGTCATAGCTCACTGCAGCCCCAACCTCCTGGGCTCAAGCAATCCTCCTACCTCAGCCTCCCAAGTAGCTGGGACTGTAGGCATGTGCCACCATGCCTGGCTAATTTAAAAATGTTTTTTTTGTAGAGACGGTGTCTCACTAGGTTGCCCAGGCTGGTCTCAAACCCCTGGTTTCAAGTGATCCTCCCAACTCAGCCTCCCAAAGTGCTGGGATTACAGGCACCAAATCAGTTTTTGTTTTTTTGAGTAGCCCTTTCTTCTTCTTGCAGTTGCCCTGGATTGCCCAGGTGGCTCTCCAAGGGCAGAAGGAGTCATTCCACCTCTCTGTATTCCAGCGTTAAAATTAGCCCCTGTTTTAGAGACTTTTGGTTCTGTCTCCAGAGCTAGGGCTAGAAGTCAGCAGCTTTAAGAACAGAGCATCTCAGGAGGTACAGCCAGATCTCTGTCCACCAGGTTTCTAGAAGCATGACCCTCAGAGGCTGTTTTGGAAAAGTTTATAAATTCCTTGGTGGTTTAGTGGTGCGAGACACTGACTTTAGCTGTATGCCCAGGAGCTGCTGCAAACAACATGCAGGCAGTAGGCAGATATTGTGCCTCCCTTGACACTTATGAGGAAGACTGAGTGTTGCAATGGCATTTGGAAACTTCCATTTTCTATTCAAATTTGTTCACCAGATCCTTATCAGGTGGAAGACTAATAAGAGCACAAATAGTGAAGGGGACCTGAGGCTTACCCTTTCCTTGAGGCTAAAGCAAGAAAAGGAAACCATTGGCCAGCCACTTTTGTCAAGCACTTCCTTTGTGCAGAGAACATGCTGTGCTCTGTGCCTTATAGGGGTGGAGGATAAACAATTGGGAGGAGGGGCTCCCTTCCAGAACATCCCATGGGCTGCATGAGAGGGCAACACTGAAGCCCTCACCATCACTTGCAAGAAATGACTGATGGGCACTTACAAAACAACAGGTAAATGAACGAGTACATTAGCGTTCCATGTATAAGATGATTGTCCCCAGAGTCAGGTGTGGCCAATTAGAGAAGTTGCTAAGAATGAGGTTTTTGAAGGAACTGCTGAAGCCAGACCTTTATAACAAGCATGGTCTTGTTCCCTGCTGCGTCAGCTTGCTCCACTCCTTTCTTCCCTGCCTCTGTTCAGGGCACCACGAGTGCCCCCTCCATCCCTCCACCCAGGCACACACCAGAGACTTGGAAGCCATGCTAGATGTCCACCTCCCTCCTCCCTCCAAATCCACCCCAAATTCTACCACCTCCATTCTCTCCACTGTGGCCAGTAATGCCCAATGCTTCCAGTGACTCCATTTCACCCTCAGGATAGAGTTCCAGCCCTCCTCAGCCCTCTGTGCCTCTTTCATCCTCACCTCCTACCCTCAAATGTTTGAGGCTTTATAACTCTGTTCTCTTTACTTTTTTGATTGATGCCTTTTCCCTAATGACTTTGCTTTGACTGGAAAACTCTTTTTTTTTTTTTTTTTTTTTTTTTTTTTTTGAGAAGGAGTCTCGCTCTGTCACCCAGGCTGGAGTGCAATTGCACGATCTCAGCTCTCTGCAACCTCTACCTCCCGGGTGCAAGTGATTCTCCTGCCTCAGCCTCCCAAGTAGCTGGTATTACAGGTGCCCACTACCATGCCTGGCTAGCTTTTTTTGTATTTTTAGTAGAGATGGGGTTTCACCATGTTGACCAGGCTGGTCTCAAACTCCCTAACCTCAAGTGATCTGCCTACCTCAGCCTCCCAAAGTGTTGGAATTACAGGCGTGAGCCACTGCACCCAGCCTCAGAATATCTTAAGTTCATATTTTAATATCTTAAAGGTAAAATGAGTTCACTAGGATGGGCCCTGATACACCATGTCGGATGTTCTTATAAAAAGGGGGGAATTTGGACATAGACACACAGAGAGAGCACCAGCACCTGACTTGCAGGCTGATGCATCTACCAGCCAAGGAATGCCAACGATTGCCAGCAAACTACCAAGAGATAGGAGAGAGGCCTGGAGCAGATTTTCCTTTACAACCTTAAGAAGCATCCAGCCCTGCCCACACCTTCATCTCAGATTTCAGCCTCTAGATCTAAGACAATAACTCTGTTTATTGAGCCACTTGCTTTGTGGTCCTTTCTTACAGCAGTCCTAGGACACTAATAAGCCTTCTGACACCGATCTTCTGTGATCTTTTGGGATGGTGGTGAAATCAGCGGATTGTTTATTTTAACATCTAGGAGATCAGATAGGTTCCAAAAGCATCCCTTACAGATGAGCCCATTTTTGCCAATACTTATTGTTACTTAGAGCTGGATGGACTCAGAATTGGGGAAACCATCTCTGTTTTGGACACCTAGAAGATGGGCAGAGAAATGACTGGTGGGGATGAAGGATGTTGTTGCTGCCAGTTGGTGAAAGGAGAAAAGGCTCAAATATGTGCTTCTGATCTCTAACATCCCTTTCCACCATCAGCAGGACAGATGAGTGGGATCACATCGGCCCTTACCCTTTTTCTTGGGATCCCTGCTTCCATGCAAGGCTCCCCTTGCTGTAGCTGGTGGCCACTTGCATACATGTGCTTGGGGCAGTGGATGTGGCCTACACGTGTGATTCGCTGCCAGTGTCAGGGGTGTGTTTGCTGACGCTGCTTGATAAGCCACTTTAGGATTAGCAGGTGGCCAGAGTGGGCCTGGTGTATCCCTTGGCTGTTGCTCAGACTCTCCCGGCTTCACCATGTCCTGTGTCTGAATCCCAGGCTCTTTCCAGGCTTTTCAGGATGTGGATCCTCCCCACACTGTAACAACCTCCAACCTAGAGATCACAGCCACCAGTCGATATAATTAATGACCCCAGTGGTCCCCCGGGTTCTAACACATACAGTTCTCTGTCTTGATGCTTTCCCCCTCATTCTCCTGGGGCAGCCTGGGCATGCTGGTTCTTAGGATTCAGTTTTGGGAATTGCAAGTGTACAGGCCTGTGTTTGGAGGTTTTAAAGGTGATTTGAAACAAATTCCATTTAATGATGTGGCTATTTCAAAAGCCTGTCCCTGTCACATTAGAATCCCCAGAGCTGCAGCTTTGTTAACTTTCAGTTTGTTATTGGGCTAGGAATGGGCTGTGATTATTAGCAAAGTGGACAGAACAATTGGTTCAGACTCCAGCATGGTGGTTTTGAGATCCCGTCTCCCTCTGCTAGTCTATTTTTGACCCTGCCAGCATCATTTTTTTCCTTTTGAGGTTGAATAAACAGACATTCTCTAACCTTCCTCCTGCCACCCAGCACTCTCCTTCTGATCAAGGTTGACACATTTAGCCCACTCTGTGGTGTGATGCTCTATGAAAAGATCAGACCTACATTGTGGCGTCCACCTGAGAGGTGTAGGACAGCTGAGGTTGGACGTCTGGACTGTGCAACCCAGCAGGACAAGCCTGTGTCACACATGGCCAGAAGCTATTGATCTCTTGAAGATTAGTCCTGAGTTTTACTTGGTTTGTGTGTCTTCTAAGTGGCAGCATTAAGCTTTCTTGTTTTAGAGCAAACCTCTTGATTCTGCAGAAATAAGGGAAAAAATGTTGCCTTTCTTTTGAAAGCAAGCCTGTTAAGAAGAACAGAGATGCCAGACCCAGCTGTCTTTTCCTCCTGGTTCTTTGGCTGTAAGAATCTTCTTCCCACTTCAGAACCATACTTGGAGGGGAAAGAAGCCAGGCATTGCCAAATGACGAGATCTGTTTGTCCTTGGCTCTGGATAATGTGAAACAAGAGCTTGTTTCCCTAAATAGTTTTAATTCTATGGCTATTCTGATAGGGAAACGGTGGGATTGGATCTTGGTCTCTTCAGATTGAGGGCCCAGTACAAGTACAGAACATTATTACTGTGATCGATAGGAGATTATAGCCATGGGCAGTCTCTGGAACTCATTTATATGCATATTATTTCCTTAGTAATCAAATATGAATCTGAGAAGTGGTGCTCAACGAGCATCAGGAAATCTGGCTCCTGATGAAGACAGGAGTTGGTGAACATCTGCAAGCTTGGAAGGCTGCCAGCCGATACCTTCACCGGAATGCTAACTCCTCCCTCCTCCCTGTTCAGCCTCGGCGCCTGTGGCTGGCTGCTGAGCCCTCTTCCTTTGCCGTGTTTAGTCCCTGCCAGTGTATGCAGAAGTTGGTGTGTTACTGATCATTAATGTGGTGTTATTGCCAGACTGGTATTTGTATTCTCAATCAATTTCCTTTAGAAGGGGATTCATTTAATACTTAGAGGGGGTTGATTTTTATGGTGGAGCTGGGGAGATGAAAAGATACATATTTAATTTTTATGTTTTTAATTAACATATAAAAATGGTATATATCGATCATATACAATGTGTTGTTTTGCAATATGTATAGGCTTACTTTGGAGAATTGTGGGTGCGGTTCCAGGCCACTGCAATAAAGCAAGTCAGACACATTTTTATATTTCTCAGTGCATATAAAAGTTATGTTTACACTACACTGTAATCTGTTAAGTGTGCAGTAGTATTATGTCTAAAGAACAATGTACATACTTTCATTAAATTTTTTTTATTTTTAAGTTTCCAGTTACTTAGACATAAAACGTTCTATATTAAATATTAAATAATTGAAATTCAATCCCAATAAAAATATTGAACATAAATATAAAGCACGTGAACATATATTTTCATTAGGATAAAGAATTTTCCAGATTTTTTTTAAACTCTAGAGAAAGGTTCTTTTTTTTTTAACAGGAGCATGTGTATATTTGTTAGCTAGGTAAACTCATGTCACAAGGGTTTGTCATACAGATTATTTTGTCACCCAGATACTAAGCTTAGTACCCAATAGTTTTTTTTTTTTTTGCTTCTCTCCCTCCTCCCACCCTCCACCCGTAAGGAGACCCGCGTGTCTGTTGTTATCTTCTTTGTGTCCATGAATTCTCATCATTTAGCTTTCACTTGTAAGTGAGAACATGTGGTATTTGGTTTTCTGTTCTTGTGTTAGTTTGCTAAGGATAATAGCCTCCAGCTCCATCCATGTTCCCGCAAAATACATGATCTCATTCTTTTTTATAGCTGCATAGTATTCCATGGTGTTTATGTACCCCATTTTCTTTACCCAGTCTGCCATTGTTGAGCATTTAGATCGATTCCATGTCTTTGCTGTTGTGAACAGTGCTGCAGTGAACATTTGTGTGCATGTGTCTTTATGGTGGAATGATTTAGATTCCTCTGGGTATACCCGTAGTGGGATTGCTGGGTCCCAAATATTTTAATTTGCTACAAAATGCGAATGATCATCTGAGCCTTGAGCAAGTTGTAATCCTTTTGCCGGTAGAGGGTCCTGCCTTGATGTTGATGGCTGCTGACTGGTTAGGGTGCTGGTTGCTGAAGGTTGGGGTAGCTGTGATGATTTTTTTTTTTTTTTTTTTTTTAAGACTGAGTCTTGCTCTTGTCGCCCAGGCTGGAGTGCAATGGTGCAATTTCTGCTCACTGCAACCTCTGCCTCCTGGGTCCAAGCAATTCTCCTTCTTCAGCCTCCCGAGTAGCTGGGATTACAGGTGCCCACCACCATGCCCAGCTAATTTTTGTATTTTTAGTTGAGACGGGGTTTCACCATGTTGGCCAGGCTGGTCTCGAACTCCTGACCTCAAGCGATCCACCCACCTCAGCCTCCCAAAGTGCTGGAATTACAGGCATGAGCCATCGTGCCTGGCTGGCAATTTCTTAAAATAAGACAATGATGAAGTTTGCTGCATTGATTGATTGATTTCCTTTCAAGGAAGATTTCTCAATATCATGTGATACTGTTTGATAGCATTTTACCCACAGTAGAACTTCTTTCAAAATTGGAGTCACTCCTTTCAAATCCTGCTGCGCCTTTATCAACTAAGTTTATGTAATATTCTAAATCCTTTCTTATCATTACAACAGTGTTCAGAGCATCTTCAACAGGAGTAGGTTCTATCTCAAGAAACCACTTTCTTTGCTCATCCATAAGAAGCAGCTTCTCATCCATTCAAGCTTTATCATGAGATTGCAGCAATTCAGTCACATCTTCAGGCTCCACTTCTAATTCTAGTTCTCTTGCTATTTCCATCACATCTGCAGTGACTTCCCCCACTGAAGTCTTGGATCCCTCAAAGTCATTCATGGGGATTTGAATCAATTTCTTCTGAACTCCTGTCAATGTTGATATTTTGACCTCTTCCCTTGAATCACTAATGTTCTTAATGGCTTCTAGAATAGGGAATTCTTTCCAGAAGGTTTTCAGTGTACTTTGCACAGATCCTTCAGAGGAATCACTATCTATGGCAGGTATCATTTTACAAAGTATATTTCTTAAATAATAAGATTTGAAAGTCAAAATTGCTCTTTGATCCATGGGCTACAGGCATGAAAACAACACTCATCTCCTGGGACATCTCCATGAAAGCTCTTGGGTGACCAGGTGGATTGTCAATAAGCAGTAATGGTTCGAGAGGAATCGTTTTTTCTGAGTAGTAGCTCTCAACAGTTGGCTTAAAATATTGTGCTGTCATCCAAGCTTCGTTGTTCCATGTATAGAGCACAGGCAGAGTAGATTTAGCATAATTATTAAGGACTCTAAGACTTTTGGAATGGTAAATGAATTTTGGCTTCAACTTAAAGTCACCAGCTGCATTGGCCCCTAACAAGAAAGTCAGCCTGTCCTTTGAAGCTTTGAAGCCAGGCATTGACTTCTCTCTAGCTATGAAAGTCCTAGATGACATCTTTTTCCAAGAGATGGCTGTTTCATCTACATTGAAAATCTGTTGCTTAGATCACTATGTTTCATAATACCAGTAATGAAAAAGTCTGAAATATTGTGAGAATTACCAAAATGTGATAGAGAGACATAAAGAGATCGCATGCTATTGGAAAGATGGTGCTGATAGACTTGTTTGACGCAGGGTCGCATAAACCTTCAATTTGTTTAAAAAAATGCAATAGCTGAAAAGTGCAATAAAGCAAAGCACAATAAAGTGAGGTGTGCCTGTATATACTGTGGAATGGCTAAGTCAAGCTAATTAACATAAGCAGTACCTCACATACAATGTTCAGCATCCTTTCATTATAACGATTAGAAAAAAAATTGATTCCCGGCCTTGGCCACTGTCTGTATGGAGTTTGCATGCTCTCTCCGTGTCTGCCTGGGTTTTCCCCAGGTGCTCTAGTTTCCTCCTACATCCCAAAGCTGTGTTATTAGGAGAATTGGCGTGTCTACACAGTCCCCATCTGAGTGAGTGTGGGGGTGTGTGTGTGGGTGTGTCTGGCCATGGGATGATATCCTGTCCAGGGCTGGTTCTCTCCTTGTATCCTGAGCAGCCAGGACAGGCTGCAGCCACACATGCTCCTAAACTGGAATAATTGGGTAAATGATTATCTTACTTGTTTTTGTTAATCTTTCTTAAATATGTATCTATCTATCTATCACATTTACTTCAGTATTTAATATTATAAGTGTTTTGGGTGTTTATTTAGAAGTTTGGTGATATTTTTGTGACCAGAAATATGCCATAGGAACTTAACTCTTGTTTATATCAATTAGTCTATGTCAAATTGGTTTCACATTGGTATGTTGTTATACCAATACAATATACTCAATATACTTTAAGTGCAAAGTTGCAATTTCCAAGAACGTATTGATGAAGGGAGAACTTACTATTCGTAACATTTATTTTTGCAGTGAGACTAGTTCAAAATCTACTATCTTACCAATTTTCAGGAAAAGATACATTTTTTAACACAACGTATGAAATCGGACAGAACCCTAAATTCAGTTATTTTCTCCTTTTTGTTGGGTGTTTATCTATGTGATGCGTAAGTTACGTGTGCCACATTTCGTTTGAAAGAGATTTATCACTTGCAATGATCTCAGATTTGTCATTTTATAGGGAGTTTTTCACCCCAAACCCCACTCATTTAGAAAGAAGAAAAGTCAGAGCCCATAGGTGTGTGCTGGCAGCGTGGATGTGGGAGGATGAAGAAGGGCAGATGTCCAGGGTGGACCCTCATGCACCTTCAGAGCTGGAGGGAGGTCTCAGAATCCAGAAATAAACTTGGGCCCAGTGTGGGCACCGCACTACCCTAGCTTCTGTGGGAAGGGCTGGGGAAGGAGATCTTACTGTTAAATGCTTATTGTACCAAATTATATCAACCTTAGTAGATGTGGACTGTGAGATGACTTCTTCACGATGATCTGATGGACTTTTAGGTTAGCAGATGAAGTAATCTGTGTAATAGGCCAAACCCTATTCTTTTTATTCCCATCCATCTGAATACACAGCTGATTGCAGCAGTTCCTTCTGTCTGTGGGGAGGAACAGTAGGAGAAGAGCAGTGGAGAATGTATCCAGAGCAGGACAGACACACACCAGGGAAATTTTGGCAAAGCTGGGGCTTTAAAAATAACAAAATAAGCACTATTTTAAAGTATTTAAAGAGCTCTGCATTTCTTGAAGTGAACTAGGGATGTTAGGGTAATTACCCAACTACTGTTTACATTGAAAGCTGTTCTCTGATTTAATAGGAAACATATCTGGTTTTGATTTCTGAAAACATCTGGTAGCAAAATTGCTGCCAGGAGACCCAGCCAGTCCTGAAATGGGAGGAAGTCCGAACTCTTGGTTTTCTAGCGATGAGGAGTGCTGCCCAAAGCTAGGGCTCTGAGAGCAGTCATCGTAGATGGACTGATTACAGTCCAGGAGGTGTACATGGTTCACAAATAAAGAATTCATGTTGGCCACACACGGTGGCTCATGCCTGTAATCCCAGCACTTTGGGAGGCTGAGGCTGGTGGATCACCTGAGGTCAGGAGTTCGAGACCAGCCTGGCCAACATGGTGAAACCCTGTCTCTACTAAAAATATACAAAAATTAGCTGAGCGTGGTGGTGGGTGCCTATAATCCCAGCTGCTTGGGAGGCTGAGGCAGAAGAATTGCTTGAACCTGGCGGCAGAGGTTGCAGCCAACTGAGATCGCGCCATTGCATTCCAGCCTGGGTAACAAAAGCAAAACTCCATCTCAAAAAAACAAAAAAAAAAGAACTAATGTTAACCCTTAAATGGAAAGACCTGGCACTCCGTGGAAGAACTGAACAGCCTGGAATGCTAGGATTGATCAAGCTTGGATATCCTATAACAATTATCATTGATTGCCAACATCCAGTATTCTTAATTTCAGCTTTAGGGCAGTATAGGGCAAGCAGTCAAGGTCTCAGGTTCTGGGATTAGAGAGGCCTGGGTTCAAATCCTGTCTCCTCTACTGACTTGCTTTTGTGCAGTGGTTCTTAGTCTTTGCTGCACATTAGAATTGCCCGTGAAATTCTTAAAACTCTGGATGCCCAGGCTGTATCCTAGAGCAAGGGTGTAACAGTCTCTAGGGGTGAATCATAGACATTGGTGTCTTTGAAAGTATTCTCCCTTCTTCTCACCCTGGGTAAACATGTTGAGAGCCACTGTTTAAGACTTGAAAAGTTTCATAGCTCAATAGTGGAGTTTCATCATCTAGAAATTGGGGATAGTATTATCTAACATACATGTTTCCCATGAAGATTAAAAGAGATAATACATGCATGGTGATTAGTCCACTGCCAGGACATAGTAAATGCTCAGTAAATGACAACCAACATCCCCAGCTCAGCTTCTTGAACTCCTGGCCTCAAGAAATCCTCCTGACTAAGCCTTCTGAGTAGCTGGGTTACAAGATGAGCTACTGTGCCCGGTGAGCTCAGTTTCTCTACCTGCAAAGAAAACTTCTGAAGTGCAAATGTGGTGGTTCCCACATATGCTAGAAGGGAGGCAAGGGAATGCAATTCTTGCATTTGTTTGACAGAGACAGTCAGATACTCTAAGCCTATGGTGTTGTTGCAGAGAAGCATTGAGGGAAATGGCTGAGCATCAGAGCCTCTTCTGACAACTGTGCCACTTTCTTAGACCTACAGGTACACCCAAATCCACTTGAAATTACAGAAACACATTATCTTCTTTCAATTTTCAGTTGTTTGTTCCTAGATTCTCCTTCTTATTGTGATAAGTTTTTAAAATGTGACTTTATTGTAGTGTTAGACAAGGGGCAGTCTTGAGAAAATTAAATGTGAGGAAGGTTTGGGGAATGTACCCCTAACCTTCTATCTAGTACATCTAGACCAGTTAATCCCTGAGTACCCTGATTGCAGAGATGGATGTTTCTAGACATGAAATAATGCAAATTGGCTTTCATTTCTATGATTCTGTTCTCATTCACTGGTATAAAATCATGTCTACTTATAGGATATCAATTTCTGTCAATGTTTCATAAGTATTAATTATAAAATCCATTGTGTCTGGATTAACAATTCTGCTCTCAGAACATTACCAGCTAACACCTTCACCTAAGTACCAGCTCCAGTACAGATTCACTTATTCAGGGGTTTTTACTGGCATTTATTAGTGCTAGGATGTTCACCACTGGGCTGGGGTATGGACTTCAGACCTCAGAAGGTTTGGGTTGAATCCTAGATCAGTACTTCGTCACTGAACCTTGGTTTCTTTATCTATAAAATGTTAACAGTGGGTGTTCATTTTACAGGGTGATGGGTGATGACGATTAGAGATGATATAAATAATATATATGTTGGGTCCATTATAAGTGCTCAGCAGTGTAGATGAATATATATTAATATTAATATATTACTAATTGAGAGACTAGTCATTCAGTTTTTCAAATTTAATTGTTTTCATGCATTTTTGAGAAGGTATAATTTTACATTCAGAGATGGTACTGAATTTTCTGTGAGGCTTGGGAACTACTCTTGAGTGGTTACAGGCTATAGTAAAAGTCTGTGTGTGATTACAATTAGCTTTCTTTGTAAAGAGGGTAATTGCATCCTCAGTTCCTCAACATTTTTGTTGCCTTCTTGCCTTCCATGTTGAAATGAACTTCCCTTTCTCTTCATTCTTATGTAAACACAATGCACACAGCTTTTGTATTCTAAGTTTTAACAGAAGATCACAACTGTGCACTGGGGGTATTCAGGGCTGGGTTCATCAATACTAAATCTTCAAAATCTCACTTTGGAATGGAAGAGGAGGCTCAAATTAGTGTATGCCCTTCGATCCTCCCCAAGTTCTTTGTGTGTAGCCTACTAAACCCTTCATCACATAACATCGCCATTTGGCATTTATATGCCTCATCCACTAAATTAAATAAATGAAATAACATGTTAAAAAGTGTGCACTGAATGCTAACCACATAGTTTGTATTTTTCTTTGTCTTTCTTTCCATATTTTATTTTATTTTTCTTCCTTCCTCCTTTACCCATTTTCTCCCTCAGCATTTTATTTCTCTGTAACCCCAGGGCCCAGCACAGCATAGCTGAAATAGATGTTTGCTGAACAAAGAATGAGTAAAGTATCTTTACTCTTGCAAACTCAAGTGCACCAGTAATGATTTCTGTCTGGTATATGGCAGTGTGCTGACCAGACATAGCAGTGACTGCCAAAGGTCATGATCAGTATTTTGGCCCATGGTGTATGCATTGCTGTATATCTATACACATCCATCTGTTACATGATTGCTAGAGGGTGGGTTTGTCTTTTTGAATGGGCTGATTATAAGAGGTTTGAACTAAAAAGGCACCAGTACTTTAAAAACAATGATAGCTGTTCTGCCCAACATAGTAGCCGCTAGTCACAAGCAATTATTTACATTTAAATTAATTAAAAGAAGATAAGATGAAAAATTCAGTTCCTCAGTTGCACTAACCACATTTCAAGTCCTCAGTGGTCACATGTGGTTAGTGGCTTCCATATTGAACAGCACAGATAAAGAGCAATTCTAGCCTTGCAGAAAGTTCTATTGGCTGCATGTGAGGGAGTGTGGAGGGATTTCAGGTGACTTTTAGAGTTAAGAGGGTCCTACTCAAGCCTGTCTCCTACATTTGCTGTGGTTAGAGAAAGGATGATTTCAAAGATAAAATCTTCAGCGAGGCTTGGTGTGTCATCAAGGGAACTCGATGATGGAGCAGGGAGAGGCAGAAACCCAATACCAGGTTGGGTATTGGGAGAGCTTTGAGAGCAGGGAGAGGCTTTGAGGGTAGAACTTCCTGACTTTTCATCATTGCCTTCACCAAGACCCACCTCATTTGGGTCAGCCTTTCCCTTTTTCTCATACCTTACTCACACTTTCCCTCTGAAAGTGGTTTTAGGAGATAAACACAACTTGGCCAAGGGATATCCAGGCCCTGCTTTCCCAGAGCCTCTGAGGCTGATGCCGTTGGACCAGCAGCTTGGCCTGGGGCTGTCCATATGAGCTGGCTCTGCACAAAGCTCTGAACTGGAGTTCTGAATGAACACAGTGCCTTTGATAGAATGTCACATAAAATGATCTCGCTTCATATTTCTCAGGCTAGCCAAGCCTTTTATAGGAGTAATCCGATAGCTCATCAATCATTTTCTCATATACGAAATGGAGAAAATAAAGCCACAGAATGATTAAGTATGTGCCCAGCAATTCAGCAATAGCGGTCAAGGTGAAAATCGTCACCCTTCACCTTTGCAAATCGACTTGTGGAAATTCATTTAGCTACATTAGCACAACTATTTATTGCAGCATTGGTTATAATACTGAATAACTGGAAACACCATATGTGTCTATGTAAATAGGGGAATGGGTTAAGTGAATTGTGTCATATTAATACAACACACTATTATGCAGCCTATAAAACCATAATTTAGATTTGCATATGCTGATATGGAAAGATCTCTAAGATACAGTAAGTGAAAACTTAATATGTGAAATTGAATGCAGAGCATGATCCATTTGTGTTAATTATGTTTAAAAGATAGATATTCTAGGAGAATATATAAGAAACTTTTACAACTGTTTTATTTGGGGAATGAACAGGAGTTGGCAAGGGAAAAACTTAATTTCATTTTATTTCCTACTGTAGTGTTAGACTTGTTTTAACAAGGAACATATTCATGTTTTACTTTCATTTTTAAATTAAAGTTTATTTATGTGCTTTCAAAATTTAATTTTTAAAAACATGTTTGTATACTTTTAGCTCAGGTAATACACACATGTGATTCAAAATTCAAAGGTACAAAAGAGTAAAGTATGAAATGTTAATCTTCCTGTTTCTCCATCCTCTGGTCACCCAACTCCCCTTCTTGGAGAAACCACTGTTACTCCCCGATAACAGAGATGAATGTTTCTAGAAGTCAAGAACGCAAATTGGGTTTCATTTCTGTGATTCTAGTATCTTGTAAATCCTTCCAGATATTCTACTCATGTAAGAGAAAGTTCATTAAAGTTAGTTTCTAATTATATTTGTAAACATGAATGTGTGCTAAAATCTCCTTTGACCATCACTCCTAACCCCTCTCTTCCATTCCTATATTTATAATATTAGGGTTTTAAAAACATAGCTAGCTGGAGAAGAAACCCAACTTTTCCAAATTTATTAGTCAAGAACAGCAGGCAAAAGTTCAAAGTTCCCAGCTAGCCTGTTACTTAGGGCCCACACTTTGTGCACAGGAAATGCTATGAAACCATATTATAAAGAGTCATTGCATGGTTTGGATCAAGTCTAGCTTCCGGGGAAGGCATGCAGTGGGCTTGGAGCAGTAGCTGTTTACCAACCAGCACAGAAGTTTCTCAACAATGCAACAACCTGCTTGGATGTACTGCGGGTCTTACTGGGGCAAACCCACCTGGAGGGATGGTGCCCATGACTGGTATAGTTTCTTTGGAGCTAACAGTCTAGTACAGGAAAACACACCATTGATTATTTAATTACAATTATAATAAGAGAGATGAAAGAGAAATAAGAGCATATGCCAGGGGTCTGAAGTAGTTCGTGAGTAAAGGAAGTCTTATTTGAGAGGAGAGTATGAATAGGAAATTAGAGAGGGAGGAAAAGTGTATTCCCGGCAGAGGGTACAGCATGTGCAAAGGTAACTTGTTCAGGATGCAAGTAGGGAATTAGCACCTCTACCACAACCAATATTTTACAGGTCAAAGACACACTCTTCAAGGGTTCTCTGCTGCTCTGTGTTTGAGTTCCATTGCTTGTTGTTTCTTTATTAGCACTCTGTTCCCGGGTAGGTAAATAGAGACGGCAGTTGTAGCTCAAGGCTGCAGTCCCCAAACCCCCTTCTGTAAGGACATGAAGGCTGGGATGTTTGTGAGTATAGCACAGAATGTGCTTGGAGGTGCTCAGAAAGAGAAAGCTCTAGAAAGGGGCAGGTCTACGGTTGCCCTGGAGGTGTTTGGTTTGAGACATGTGCCGCTCAGGATGTGTGAGTTTCTGCAGTGACCTTGCTGCCGCAAGTGGTCTGTTGAAGGGTCAGATGCTGGTTGAACATGTAGCAAATTCTCTAGGCCTCTGATTTTTCCAACCACGTTTTGCCTTGCTGTTTTTGGTTCTTCTGCTGTGTTCTGGCCTGTAGCCTGCTCTTCTGAGAACCTACTATGCTTCTATTTACTGTCTTCAAGGAGTACCTTCCCTGTTTCATTTGCCTGGCTGATTTTTACTGGTCTTTTATGTTTTGCTTTTCTGGATGTCTACTTCTCCTTCCAGTTCAAGAGTTAGGTGCTTGACTTCTGTGCTCCCATGTACCCTGCACTTAACTTTTGTGTTCTTATAATGCCCTGCACTTGACTTCTGTATTCCCATAAAGCCTTGCACTTGACTTCTGTGTTCCCATAATGCCCTGCACTTGACTTCTGTGTTCCCATAATGCCCTGCACTTGATTTCTGTGTTCCCATAAAGCCCTGCACTTGACTTCTGTGTTCCCATAAGGCCCTGCACTTGACTTCTGTGCTTCCATAATGCTCTGCACTTGATTTGTGTTCTCATAATGCCATGCACTTGATTCCTGTGTTCCCATAATGCCCTGAACTTGACCTCTATATTCCCATAATGCCCTGCACTTGATTTCTGTGTTCCCATAAAGCCCTGCACTTGACTTCTGTGTTCCCATAAGGCCCTGCACTTGACTTCTGTGCTTCCATAATGCTCTGCACTTGATTTGTGTTCTCATAATGCCATGCACTTGATTCCTGTGTTCCCATAATGCCCTGCACTTGACCTCTATATTCCCCTAATGCCTTGCGCCTGACTTCTGTGTTCCCATAATGCCCTGTCCTTGACTTCCCCGTTCCCATTGTGGCCTCCACTTGCCCCACACAGGCTGTAACACTGGCTGTGACTCTGATGCTCTCATAAATTGTGGTGCTTCTCAGGACTGTGTTTACTTCCTCTTAGTATTCAGGGGCCTGGTGCAGGCCTTACAATAAGACTATGAAAATGTTTGTTGAGACGATAGTCTGCAGATAAGCGCCTTTGGGAACTGGAACAGGTGATCTGTACGGGCTGAGGGAGCCTTAATGGGAGAGTCGGCTCTCTGACTGACTCTCATGGTTTGGGCAGAGGAGAGAGGAAGTTGTAGGCATTCTGGGTGAAGCTGTTGGCAGTGCACTGAAGAGAGAGGGAATGCAATGTCACCTCTCAATGCAATGTCTCTCTCTTCAGTGCACTGAAGAGAGAGGGAATGCAACATGAAGGACAAAAGAAAACTTCCCCCACCCCAACCCCACATGAAAACTCCCCTCAAGGCTTTCTTCCATGAAAGTCCTCCTTTAGCTTAACCCAGTGATGTTCAACTGGGGAATATTTTGCCCTCCAGGGAATATTTGGCAATGTCTGGAGACATTTTTGGTTGTCCCAATTGAGGAGCTATCAGCATCTAGGAGTAGAGGCCAGGAATGCTGCTAAATATCCTATGATGCACAGGACAGTCAGCTCCCTACAACAAAAAGTGACCCAAAGGCCAGGGCTGGTGGCTCACGCCTGTAATCCCAGCACTTTGGGAGGCCAAGGCAGGTAGATGATCTGAGGTCAAGAGTTTGAGACCAGCTTGACCAACATGGTGAAACCCCATCTCTACTAAATACAAACAATTAGCCAGGCGTGGTGGCAGGTGCATGTAATCCCAGCTACTTGAGAGGCTGAGGCAGGAGAAGTGCTTGAACCCTGGAGGTGGAGGTTGCAGTGAGCTGAGATTGTGCCATTGCACTCCAGCCTGAGTGACAAGAGTGAAACTCCATCTCAAAAAAAAAAAAAAAAAAGGGACCCAGCACAAAATGTCAGTCATGCTGCCATTGAGAAACCCTAAATTAGGCAGACTGTGGCTTAGCCACATGTTGATCATGTAGACTGGGGCTGCATGAGTAAATGTTGGATGTTTCTAATTAACTTGTACATGTGACCAGTGATGTTCTATGAGCAGTGTTATATGACCAGAGATATAGGAGAGGAAGCTGGTTTGGGGCAAGTTGCTGCTTTGTTTATTGACACTCTGTCTTCTGTCACTGCATGGATGAAGGTTTGGTGGGATATGCAGTTACAGTGTAGGAAGGGGAGACAGATGCACAGGAGACAGAGCAAGGTGGGAGGAGAGGCTGCAGTAGCCTCTGTGCTGCCCGCTCAGGGAACAACCATAGTGATATGGCAGGATGTGCACAGGCCACAGGCTGGAACCTCAAGGGAAACCGTGTAGCTGGGTGTTGTGATAACAGCAAGGTAAGGGACTGGATGGGGTTACTTTCTTTTTTGATGCCCTTTCCTGAAGTTTCCCTCTGGCAGAAGCGTCACCTTTGGCTGACGTGGAAATAGGAAATTCACCCTGTCTCCCTCTTCTGTTTTCTTCCTAAGGTTCTTGTCTGTTTAGAATACCATTAAGCTGGGCGTGGTAGCTCACACCGTAATCCTAGCACTTTGGGAGGCCAAGGTGGGAAGATCGCATGAGCCAAGGATTTTGAGACCAACCTAGTGAGATGCCATCTCTGCAAATAATAATAATAATAAAAACTATCCATGGTGGTGCATGCCTGTGGTCCCAGCTACTTGGGAGGTTAAGGTGGGAGGATCACTTGAGCCCAAGAGGTCGAGGCTGCAGTGAGCCATGATTGCACAACTGCATTCCAGCCTGGGCCCCCATCTCAAAAAAAAAAAAAAAGAAAAGAAAAGAATATTACTTAACCAGGAAGAAATCTGGTGATTAGTTGTGTGGAAAATGGCTGTCTTCTGTTTCTGAATGGACTTGTGCTGTTACACCTGTTGGTTTTTTGTTTTGATGTTTGCCTGCTCAGAGTGGGTTCAGAAGCCATGTGGTGTGTGACTTGGGCCTTGCTGGGGCTGAGTCACCGGGGAATGAGAACCCTCTCCTCCCTGAGCTGTGTTAACAGAGTAGAGGCAGAATGCTGCTGAGGAAATGGTCTCTTAGTGATTTTGAATACCGAGGGTGGAGAGAATTGCTTTTTTCATGAAATCTGCCGTTAGAGGCACAGGCTCTGAACAATCAAATATTTCTGCCAAGCTTTGGATTTTGAAGGCAGGCAAAAGGAAGGAGGGACTTTGGGAAAATGACTTTAATTAGAGATTTTTAGCTGGTGACATTTCATACTTGGTGCAACCTGGGAACTAAATGTAAGTGGTCATTTAAGTTTGTATTGAGGTGCTGGGTCCTTTATTGCTTTGGTTTCTTTCTCATCACAGATGAAAAGCTTCATTCTTAAAATAAAATTTGCATAATGCTAATTGGAGTAGGGCCGTTCAGAGAAGAGAGTGGGTGCAGTTTTTTAGTTAGAAAAGTGCCACCAAGCTCTGTAGCTAAAAGGGCATTTGGCCCTATTGGTGAGTGTGGAATTATCTGGAGGGAAGGCTCTTTCAGCGTATGACTTTAAAGAAAGATCACAGAGAAACTGAAAGTCCAAATGAACCTGTGTGAAAGTGCGGCTAGTCAAGACAAGGTGGTACCATCATGCTCCTTTTGGACGAGGAGAGAATATGAGTGGTAGAGTAGAAAGAATAGGAGGTCCAGGATGGAATCTTGACTCAGACTAAATGACCTTGGAACAATTGCTTAACATTTCTGAGCCTCAGTTTCTTCATCTGCAAAATGGGCAATAATAATAATCTTACTTGCCTAGAGTGGTAAAGATTGGACACCATAACCGTGTGGTACACAGCACAGACCGTGGCAGAGCAGGTGCTATCATCATAGTCCCCACCACCACTAACCTCAGGCCCATAGATTTCAGTTTCCCTTCTCCAACTCATTCTTCTTTGCAGAATATAACATAGTGATTCAAAATAAGCAATGTGAAATTAAATGGCCCTGATTCAGTCCCAAACCCAGACTTATTAGCTGTTTGACCTGAGACAAATGCCTTCACTGCTTTCTTTATGCCTCGGTTTCCCGATGTATAAATATGGCAGTGAATATCAAATGAGATGAAGCACATATAAGGCATTCGTATGATGGCTGGACTGTAGAGAGGGCAGGAGAAGGTTACCTGAAAAGTTGGAGATGGAGTGTCCTCAGGTAGGTATCCTGATGGGAGGGAGTCCTGGAGAAAGAGAGGGTGAGGAGTAGAGTTTGGTAGCGAGCCTGACAGGAGGAGGAGGGAGTAGGGCAGACCACCCAAGACCCACAGATAGCCCTGGTTTCCACTGTCTGGAGGCTGTGCTGGAGGCCACAAGGATACTTTTCCCTACCCGCTGTCCCACTACTCCTGCCATAGGTGGACTCCAAGAGCTTCTTTCATTAAGTCTTCCCCATTGTACACAAGCTGCCCGTCTCTATGGGAACCCCATAATAGGAGTGTTGAGAATATGGATAACACTGTGGCCAATCCCTGCACTCTGTTTATGCTTGATGCCATACCCTATGTGGCTCGGGTTCCTTCACAGTGCAATGGCTGGATTTTATTTTTTAATTTTTATTTATTTACTTATTTATTTATTTTGAGGTGGAGTCTCGTTCTGTCACCCAGGCTGGAGTGCAGTGGTGTGATCTCGGATCACTGCAACCTCTGCCTCCCAGGTTCAAGTGATTCTCCTGCCTCAGCTTCCCAAGTAGCTGGGATTATAGATGTGTGCCACCATGCCCGGCTAATTTTTGTATTTTTAGTAGAGAGGGGGTTTCGCCACATTGGCCAGGCTGGTCTCGAACTCCTGGCCTCAAGTCATCCACCCGCCTCTGCTTCCCAAAGTGCTGGGGTTACAGGCATGAGCGACTGCTCCCGGCCTGGCTGGATTTTAAAAGCAAGCATTCCTACAGAGTGCAGCTACACAGAAGCTGTGATCACCTTTTATAGCTGACCCTTGGAAGTGACATGGTGCCATTTCCACTGCATATTTTTTCATTAAGCTGGTCCCAAAGATCCATCCAAATTCAAGGGGAAGGACATATATTTCACTTCTTCATCAGGAAGTGGCAAGGTTCTGGAAGAACATGTGAGATGAGAAGTAGTGTGATCACTTTTGAAAAATACAACCTGCCATACCACTCTATACATGCATGTGTGTGTATATATATGTATAGTAGCATATTTGTATAATAATGTATATATTACATATCTATGTAATATTCATACATATGAATATATAAAACTTAAATGTTTTACAAAATAATACTTCCCTTATTACCTAGGGTACACTCTATGTTCTCTTCTATTCTTTTAAGAAAGATGCTCTTTGCCAACCCACTCAGTTGATTTCCTGCCACACTATTGTGTTGTGCCCTGTTCTATTTCTTCCAGATAGCCTTGGGCAAAGGGCTGTTTCTTAGAGCGCCAGTGTCTAGGCTGTGCTCAGGGCACTACCTGACTACGTTTCTGGCCAAGCTTTATGACGTCAGCAGTTCCTGTTGTACTCCTGGTTTTTGGCTAGCAGTAAACCCAAACTTTTCTGTCTGAGAGGACCGTGGAACTCACCCTCTCCCTGTGTCTGAAATTCCCTGAGGTCTTTGCATTCGATAGGCATTCAATTGCATTCAATAGTTTGTCGTTCTTAAAGCAGCAAGCTGGCAGAGCATCCTGGTTGATGGCATATAAACAAACCAATTCATAAGTACAGCCATTATTTCACGTTGGGGCCACACAACCCTTTGACAGCCAGTGTCTGCCGCATAGGAGACCAGCTCCTCCAGGCAGCCTGTGGCGCTGTTTCCCTTTACTGGCAGCTGTGCTATGGCCAGCCAGGGCTTCTCAGCCCAAAATGAGATAGCTCCAGTCTTTTCACTCTCATGAAAAGAACAGCTTCCCACCCATCTTGATTTCTGCTGGGGTCTTTCCTCTTTGTGCCATTTGAGAGCCACCTGGGAGCACATCTTAGTAAATATATGACCTGGGCTCATGTTTGTAGAGTCCTGTCTGAGCATCTAGCAAGCTGGCTCACGTGCTCAGGGACTTGGTACCAATTAAGACATTTATTCCCACTTTTCATATGGTCGAGAAGATGTATGTCCAACACAGTGCTTTTAACTAGGTCAGAGAAAAAGCAGGCGGGAAGCTATACATTTTACAATACTTAGTGGACCTTCTTGCTAGAATTAGTGAATGGTCAGAAAGTCCGCTTCTGATGGAGGGCCAAAGGGAGCTCTTTCAGCTCACAGCCGGGCTGTGGTGTTTGGGGAGGGAAGTTTGAGAGTGGCCGCAGAAGTACAGATGATCAAAAGCAGTACTCCTGCCGCCCGCCCTGGGAGGGGGCCTGGACTCCCTCAGGGAAGGCTTTTTTGGTGCTTTGGGTAGAGAAGCTGGAGATAGCAACTGTTGAATTTCCCCAGGCTTCGTGATTTAAAGCCCTGAGCCTTTTTCCATTGTTGTTCTTGCAGCGGCCTTTAATGTGCTGGGTGTGAAAGGGAGTGGAAATGAAAAGCCAGCGCATCGCATCGCACTGGGGGCCTGAGATCAGAAGGTGATGGAAAATGGAAATGTCAAGTTTGCGTTTCCACTGCTGGCCGCAAGGGCCTCAGGCGGCACCCCCTCCTCCCGCCTCGGCTTTCGCATCCTTCTCACTTCCTCCCCAGCCCCCCAGTTTTCACACGGCCCAGTGATAAGTGTCACTCTGGGCTGAGTGAGGCTCGTGGCTTGTCAAAAGAGGCACTAGGACGAGAACAGAGAAATTCAGCATGGGCTTGAGAGGCACGTAAAGGAACTGGCCTTCTAAAGACACCGCAGAGAGACCGCAAAGTGGGTTGGTTTTCCTTTTCTAACACTGAGAAGAAAAGGAGTTCAAAATTCACACATGGTTGATAGAAAAGACGATCTGTTTCCACATGGACTTTCCTATCTCTGTGGTGCCCAGGATGCTTAGACCTGTGAGTCTTTGAACCCAGCTTGTGTTGATGTAGCTCGGGGCACTGTCAGGCCTTTGTGCCCAGCCAGGCGTGGAGGTGTTTGAAAAGAGAGCCATCAACACCTTTCCATCGGGGACTTGCGATTTTTCTCTTTTGGTTGAGTCAACTTTGAAGTTTAGTAGTTCCTTCCCACGCTTGGTGGCCACAATGTCACGAGGCTCAGCCTGGTGTCGTGGGGCTGCTAAAGATTCCGTAGAGGCTGGAAAGGTGCCTGTCAGGGGCACCAGGAATTACGTACAAGTCTAAGGAAGCTCCAGGCTTAGGAAATAGTGGGATAAACCTTCCTTTATTATCGCATGGGATAATCACATTTGTGAAATGTAGATGTCTCAAATTTATACAAATTGAATTCTGAAAAACATCAGAAAAGTTTATTACAAAGCCTTTTTTTTTGAGACAGGCTCTTACTCTGTCACCCAGGCTGGAATGCAGTGGTACAATCACAGCTCACTGTAGCGTTGAACTCCTGGGCTCACGCGATCCTCCTGCCTCAGTCTGCTGAGTAGGCGGGACTAGAGGTGCACACCACCATGCCGGGCTAATTTTTGTAGCGATGAGATTTCACCATATTGCCCAGGGTGGTTTCAAACTCCTGGGCTCAAGGGATTCGCCTGCCTTAGCCTCTCAAAGTGCTGGGATTACAGGCATGAGGCACTGCGCCTGGCCAACAAAGTCCTTTTTTATCATCATGTTTTTAACTCTTCACAGTTTTCTATGTCTGTTACCTCACTTGAGCCCAGCTGGATTTTTGACCATTTGGATAACAGTTATTGGATTTTTCTGGAAGTCTCTACATGCATGTTCTCTGTTCAAAGGGCTTGAGGTGGACAAGTTATGCATGGCCTTCAGTTTTGGGAAGACTCTGTATGATCCTGATAAATGTAATTTCAAGATGATTATATCAAACTGAAAAAGGTGCATTGTGATCCTCTGTTACCTCAGTTTTGTCCTGTGAGGTCCAATCACACACAACTTCGGAGCCACTGCCCGCTTCCTTGTAGTTTACAAAAAATGCTTTGCCACGCTCATCACAATAACTGTGAGAGAGATATGATTATATTTCTGCTGTGCAGAGGAGAAAACTGAGGCCCAGAGAAGTTAAGTAACCTCCCCCAAGACACAGATATGAGAAAGAGATGAGACTCAAACCCCAGCCTTCTGGCACCAGGGGCATGTTCTTCCACCAACAGACACTGACAGCCGTTGCCAGAACAAGAGAAAGCTGGGCAGAAGTCGACACCTTTGGCAAAGGGCTGCCTGTCCTCTGGCCTTGCTGGTTGTTAGCCCCGCTTCTGCTCATAAGGTCCTGCATTATCCCTCGCTCAGGGGTTGCCTTGCGATGGGCCTGGTCACTCTGCTTCCGCATCCTCAGGGGGCTTGTTCCTTCTGCTTGTCCCAGGTGCTCCCTGGACCTCACCTACCTCGGGTGCCTTCAGAACACCAGCAGGGGATTCATTCACCTTCTTAGGGGGTAGAGGCCGCTTCCCGGGCGTTTAAGGGACAGGCAATGGAAGTGGGATCCTTGAGAGACCAAAGGACAGTGACGCAGAGGTCATAGTTACTTTCCTGGGAGCAGAGTAGGTTCGTGTCTGGTTCCTGGTCCAGCTCCACTTCACTGCTCCCATTTCCCTTGTGGCCCAGATGGCACAGTAAGAGCTGGAGTCTGATGAATCTGGGGTTGTGTGTGGGACACCAAGCCCCATTGACGCCTGTTTCTGTGGCTTCCTGGCTCTCATATCTTCTGTATTATAGGACCAGGCAGTCTGGGCCTGTGGCCTGCCTGGGGGCGTGTGTGGCCTTCTTGGCCCAGAACTCCCTCCTAGGAGGCACAGCCAAGCCAGGGGAGAAGGGAGAGAGCTGGAGACTGAATCATAGCCTGACTAACCTGCTTTCCACGTCTGCTGGCTGCCTAGAAAGCTCTGTGATATTTGCATCTCGCATCGTGTGCCCTGGAGACTTAGAGGTAGAGCTACTTCAGAAACCCAACTGGCACTGCCTGGCGTGAGCCTGCTTCTGTGTGAGCAGCATGGCGGAAGACCAAGCTTGTCCAGCCTGCAGCCCGGCACGGCTTTGAATGTGGCTCAACACAAATTCGTAAACTTTCTTAAAATGTGAATTTTTTTCTTTCTGCGAGTTTCTTTTTCTTTCTTTCTTCTTCTTTTTTTTTTTTTCCTAGCTTATCAGCTATCATTAGTATATTTTATGTGTGGCCCAGGACAATTTTTTCTTCTTCCAATGTGGCCCAGGGAAGCCAAAAGATTGGACACCCCTGGCCTAGACCCTTTTCCTGAACCTGGCTGTCATCATCATTTCTGTCAGAGCCGGATGGAGACTATTTTTAGTTGGCTTTCTGGGTGAGATTTGACAGAGGCCAGGATGGGAGATGTCAGAATGTGTATACTGGTGAGGAAGCTGCATGGGATGAAGATCTTGAAGCTTTCAGATCTGAATGAGGACTGCCAATTCTGGTTTATCTCTCTGAGCAACCCCATGAGGGACTTTAACAAGCTCACAATTTTCAAATAGATTTTTGAGCTGTTTCCCAATCCTCCTAATCCTGTCTATTTTAGCTCTGGCCTGGGGAACATCAGCCCCAGGGTAGTGGCCAAGAACACAGGACACCTGGGGCCAGACTGCTTGGATTTAAGTCTGGGCTCTTCCTCTTACTACTTCTGGGACCCGGAACAAGTGACTTAATCTTTCCGATCTCAGTTTTCTCATCTTTAAAATGGTGGCAACAATGGTAACTAACTCAACAGGTTGTGGTAAGAAATAAATGTGTTAGGCCAGGCTCAGTGGCTCATACTTGTAATCCTAGCACTTTGGAAAGCTGAGGTGGGAGGATTCCTTGAGCTCAGGAGTTTGAGACCAGCCTGGGCAACAGAGAGAGACCCCATCTCTACAAAATAAACAAAAAATTAGCCCAGTATTGTGGCATGTGCCTGTGGTCTCAACTGCCTGGGAAGCTGAGGTGGGAGAATAGCTTGAGCCCAGGAGGTCAAGGCTGCAATGAGCCTAGATTGCACCACTGCACTCCAGCCTGGGCTACAGGATGAGACCCTATCTCAAAAAAAAAAAAAAAAAAAAGAATTAAATGTGTTAATATATATAAAGCCCTCAGAATACTGCTTGGCATATGCTAGGTGCAATATAAATTTTGGAGCTGCTACAGTTATTGTTGTTATTATTATAATGTTTATATGATTTGTCCCCTCATGAGAAGTTCTCTAGATTGGATGGATAATTCCAAATTTGTTTTTAAAACCTTTGTAAAATTTCAAAATGATGCAAAAGTATAAAAGGAAGACTTTTTGAAAGAAAAAAAACCCTTGTATCAATGAGGAATAACCACTATTAATATTTTTGCATTTCTTTCTATATTCTATACATTTTTATATGCACATAGTTCTTAAAACAAAATAATGATTATACTGTTTTTCCAATTTTCTCCTTAAGAGCGTGTGGGTATCTTTACATGGTATGGAGTCTTCTTTGAAACCTGATTTTAATAGTTTTATGTTGTTCCATTATTTAGGGTAAGTATTAAAGTATTCTCTTGTTCACCTCCACATGTCCAATTTGTACTCAATGGGGTAAGTTTGAGAGGGAACCCCTTGAAATATGGCTTCTCTGTTTAAAGAGGATTTAAGATAAGCGTTGATGTGATCACCGTGGTCACCATCATCATCATCATCATCATCTTCCTAATGTTTGGCAAATCTGTTAAAGAAATGAGCATACCCAGAACCAATGCATCAGGGTTATGTGAGGGCAGCCTCCAACCCATTGTAGAGGCAAAATTTTTGGCCACTAGACCTGAGCTCAGCAATGGAGTGGTAACTCTCTGAGCCCATTATAATTATTTTAAAAAAAGGGTGAATGACCAGGCTGGTCACAGTGGCTCACGCCTGTAATCCCAGCACTTTGGGAGGCTGAGGCGGGTGGATCACCTGAGGTCTGGAGTTCAAGACCAGCCTGACCAACATGGAGAAACCCCATCTCTGCTAAAAATACAAAATTAGCCAGGCATGATGGCACATGCCTGTAATCCCAGCTACTCAGGAGGCCGAGGCAGGAGAATCACTTGAACCCAGGAGGCAGAGGTTGTGGTGAGCCACAATCACGCCATCACACTCTAGCCTGGGCAGCAAGAGCAAAGCCGTGTCTCCAAAAAACAAAAAAAACAAACAAAAAGAAAGGATGAATGACCATCTGCTGAGGATGCTCTTGCTTCGGGCGGGAGGTAGATCAAAAAGGATGTCTAAGGAAGGACTTATCTCTGAAATACTTCAAGTGAAGGAACTTCATGTAGGGCCATGTAGTGGGAAGAGGATGCCTTCCATATCAAAGTGGGCCCACCCCCGGTTCTGCTACCGACTCACTGAATGCCCTTGGCTCAGTAACCTGCACCCTAAACACCCTCCTCCTCTGTATGGTAAAGTGGACCTGACCACATTCTCAGGGCAACCTGCGACACTCATGGAGAGCCGCTTGCCTCGAGCTTTGCGCATGACAGGTCCTCAATGAACAGACCAACTATCATATATTTCAGGCGTGTCTGTGTGTGTGTCATGGTGCATGAGTTTCATCTGTCATTGGGAATCTGGCCTCAATGCTGGGGTGAGGAGTTTGGGTATTTATACGTTGCTTCCTGTGTGTCAGGTATGGTGTCAGGCATATTACACAGATAAATGCTCCTTGACCTAAGATGGGCTCAACATTCTAATAAACTCATTGTCAGTTAAAATATTAAGTTGAAAATACATTTAATATCCCCAATAAACCCATCTTAACATCAAAACATTGTAAATCAAACTGTTCTTAAGTAGGGGACTGTCTATATTTATCTTGAAATCTAACACTGTCTGGGGTTTCATTCCCTTATTGTCTTTTGGAAATGAGACAGACTTTCAAAGGCATTCACTTGGTTGGTTTTCAAGAATGTGTTCAGTAACCCAGCTGCAAGGGGGTGTCTCTGCCACCGTCGGACATGCAGTACTTTGTAAGTGGCCTGTTCATTCCTGGACTTGCTCTTCTACCTGGAGGATGTGTGTGTAAAATGAGGTACATGTAGGAGAAATAGCCAATTAACGCAAGCTGGGTTTAAAATAGCTCCTTGGGTGAACCTGCTAGTCACACACATTCACACAAAGCCTACCTCGCCACACCGAATTTCCAGAATTGTTAAACCAGGCCAAGACATTCCCACCAGGGCACTTCCTGTTTCACTAAGAGAAAATTCTTGCTAAGAATTCCTGCCCTCTGGTTCCCTGCAGCTTTCAGGAAAGCTTTTGTTTAAACAAAGGAACCAGCCTACTGGTATCTGGGTGAACACAGGCTTCCTACTTAGATGGAAATGATCTGAATGGAGGGGGACACGGGTTTCTTTTTTCATTCCTTTTTTCCCTGTCATCCACCTGAACGCTAGTGACTTACTTGCAAAGGATTGGAGTAGAGACACGTAAAAGACGTCTTGACTTTTGGGGAAGTGACTTTCTGCTTCTGTCTTGTCAAGGCATTATTTTAAATAAATTGAATAAGCAGGAAAGTGGAGGATGAAGGATTTGTTGGATGATATTGAAGCTGGGAGAAAATGGACACTCTCTGTGTAGCATCTTGGGGACACTAAGTGTCACTTGGTGGACCCTAGTTTCCTCCACGGGGTGGATGGGGTCTCAAGCCCCCTCCAGCTACGCCATTTTCTGCATTTGCAGAGTCAGATTTTCTCTCCTGAGAATCCGTTCGGACAGCATGTGTTTTAGGGTTCTTTTACTCCACTTGGGGTTTTTGCAACACAACAAAACATACAAATGAGCTTCTTGTTCATTTTGTTGTCACCAGAACCTAAGTATTGAATGGCAGCCTTAATTGGAAAAGGGCACGATTAGAAGAAAGGGAGAGAGTGTGTGTTTGTGCATGTGTTCTTGTCCTGTGTGTGTGTTTGTGAGTGTGTGTGTGAATGAAGGTGAAAAAGGGGAGGGGACCCAACCAACCCCTAGTTTTTCTGAAAGCCTGTTGATTTATTTTCTTCCTCCCCTGTGGATATATTTCTCCCCCAAAGGAATTATGTAGCTCATGATTTCAGATTTTGGCTCAGTGGTGCTTTCTGGAGATAAAACGCAGCCGTTGCTTTATTCATCACAGATTGTTGTGCCTGTTTGATTTGCAGCCTCCGGGAAAGGCCTCGTGTGCCCGGCAAATCCTCTGCTCCCTCACTAGAGATCCTCCGTAGGCAGGATGAGCTTCCGGCCTGATCTTCTCAACAGTCCCTTCTGTGATGTTCATCCTAGTCAGGCCTTAGAACATAATAGATCCTAAAAATGCTGATCGAATTACAGAAGGTTTTTTTTTTCACTTGCCTCTGGGAGGGAAGGCTAATAAAGATTGCAGTGGTAGGGTGGAGAGAGTATCTGGTGGGCGGCATATGCCTTTTGCGCAGTTGTCAAATATAGAGGTTGGGATAGTGTGGAAATATTGATGGTTTTTTTTTAAATATGGATGGATATCCTGCAGAAAGTATAATTTTTTAAGCTTTTCTTACTTTTTTTTTGAGACAGGGTCTCACTTTGTCACCCAGGCTGGAGTGCAGTGGTGTGATCACAGCTCACTGCAGCTTTGATCTCCTGGGCTCAAGTGGTCTTCCAACCTCAGCCTCCAGAGTGGCTGGGACTACCAAGTGCATGCTACCATGCCTGGCTAATATTTGTTTTTAACTTTTTATAGAGATGGGGTCTTGCCGTGTTGCCCAGGCTGGTCTCAAACTCCTGGGCTCAAGCGATCTGGCTGCCTCCACCTCCCAAAGTGCTGGGATTACAAGCATGAGCGAACATGCCTGGCCAGTTTATTTTTTACTCACATTTTTATATGCATGTGATAACACCAACAGAAAAACAAAAGCTTCAAAAATATCCATCATATAAATGTACCATACTCTCTTTAATTATTCAAAATAACAATGTTATATCTACCCCTTATTGAATACTCACTGTGTGCCAGGCACTGGGCTAAGAATTTTACATACATTATTATTGTTATTTTTAGACATTTAGGTGGTTCGTGGCTCCCCCTCGCCACTATAAATAGTGCTTAGATGAATATCTTTGCAGATAATATTTTGTCTGATGTATGACATCCTGTTTAGAGTGAATTCTTCTATGTACAATTACTGGGCATGGAATTTTTTAAAATACACTTGAAACACATCACAACCTGCTTTAGTGCCATGTTATACTCCCTCACAAAGGAAGAAGGTGCCTAGGCGTATGTCCTCTCAAAGACCCGGAAAAAATCAGTCCTTTGTTGAAGTAGAGCCATTGGCCTGCTGGATAACTAGAAGTCTTGTTAATTTAAGATAAATACCTGGCAGTTTATTCTAGAGACTTAGGAAAAAAGACAGCAGCTCTTGACTGGGTTTTCACTGGATGCATTTTGAGGTACTGCACAGGAAGAAGAAAACACGTGCCTTTTGTCTCAGGGAGGTCAGGAGTTTTCAGGAGGGCTCTGGGATCCATCTCGATTGGTGACAGCTTTTCTCTTTCCCCTGCTTTTCTCTTCCGCTCCTAATTCCCTTAGTGTTCCACTCTCAAGCTAGCTGTATCTAGGAAGTGGGTGGGATGAGCTCTTCCTTGGAAAGATGCCCAAGAATTGGACTACGCTTGGGATCTGAGAGTAGGATGCCCTCTTCCTGCCAGAATTCGACTGCTGTTCCCTCGCCCTCAGACCCCTGCCAGGCCTCCATGTGTTGTGTCCTGAGGCTTGGTTGTCACTCTCTAAAACAGGGCTGCATGGGTAGATGGGAGGATATCTATTTGGAAACAAATCTGTGTATACAAAGAAACTAGAGGGCCCACTGGCTTTGGGTTTTCCACGAGAAACTGTGTTTTCTCCATCCAGACCTCATTCAAAGGCACGGATCCCATGCGAGCCAGAAGGTATGGACTGAGCCCCTTCTCTGTGCTGGCCATTGTCTCAGACACCAGAGGGAGACAGGGCAGTGAACAGGCAGACCACGTCCTGCCTGCATGGAGCTCACACACCTTCTCAGAGGGGAGAGAGATGACTGCATCCCCTCAGCAGGTGATAAACACATTGCCCCAAAGCCCGGCCGGCGGGGCACAGGAGTGATAGGGGCGAGGGGTGAGCAAAGTGCCAGCCTCCATGGGGTGGGCAGAGAAGGGCTATCCGAAGAGGGGACGTTTAAGTAGAGATTTGAAGGAAGCAAGGGAGGGAGACATGAACATTTACGGACAGCAGGTTTCAGGTGGAAGCAACAGTGAGTGCGAAGGGGGTGGGAGTGGGTTTCCGTGTCCCGCAACCGTGAGGAGGTGGTGAGCTGGAAAGAAACAAGCGAGGGGGAGAAGTCAGAGGAGCGGCGGCACGGGCGCTGCAGAGGAGGAAGCAGATCGTGGAGGGTCCTGCAAACCACAGGACTGACTCGGGGTTCTACATCAAATGTATTCAAAGCCATCGGAAGGCGGGTAGCAGGGGAGTCACAGGATCCAATGCCCTGTTTTAAGAGGTTGGCTGTGGCTCTGGTTTAGCCATCGGCAGGGATAGAAGCAAGGAGACCAGCAGCTACTGCCACAGTCCAGGAGAGAGAGGATGGCGGTCTCTGTGGAGAGTGAGAAGTGGCCCATTTAAGAGCACATATTGTAGGGCGATCAATGTCATTTGCTTTCACTCATCCCTTGGGAGGAAATCTGTGGCCTTTAGAGGCCTCTGGCATCCTTCCTTCCCCCAGGGAAGAGTAGAAACTTTAAAAATAGTCTGTTCCCTCTTTGGAATCTTGATCTCCAGATCTCAGTCATAGTTTTTAATAATCCTTGCCTCCATCTCGTTTTGGAAGACGTTCACCTCTCAAATGGGCATGAATCTTCCAAGTTCTTTCAGCAACAGGGAATGCAGTGGAAGTCCAATATGGCAACCTGGACTTCAGCAAGAACCATCTGCTTCTTCTCCTCCATGCCAAGCCTTCTGCTTAATGGGAGCTTGAGAAAAACACAAAGCCAGGAACCACCTGCTGGGGCTCCCAAACTCCATGATCTGACCAGGAAACACCGACCGGACAATTGGCAGGATGCATTTGAAATCTGTTAGCTCCAGCACCTGTTTGACTTCCTTCTAGGGCTTTGCATTATTGATTATATTCATGAAAAGGACTGAGAAACATTTCCCAGTGTGGCAGGAAGGCTCTCGCTGGACCAGTGCTCAGGAGACCTTCTTTTTTATTCCAATTCTGGAATTGCCGTTGGCCAGGTGTGTGGCAACAGGCACCCATCCTTGCTGGGACTGCTTCTTTATCTTCAGCATGAGTCCCAGACAGCTTGATTTCTAAGATGTGTGCCAGCTTTAACATCTCACAGTTCTAAGCTAAGAGTATGAATAAGAAATGAGGAGCAGAGGTGACAGATGACACCAATACTCTGGGCTTCGGGTGATTCCTTAAAGTGGTGTCTCAGGTTCAAGTTCAGAGCAAGCTCCCATGTGTCACCTTTTAGGCCTCTGCATTCATTATTTTCACAGGCTGCATAACTTGATTCATTCCATTAAAGGACACATGAGCAAACTGAAGGCTGAGATAAAAAAATAAAACTTCTTCATGCAAGGAGAATCATCCCTGATGGCTGCATATTCTGCAAACGGACCTAGTTTGATCAGTGATGTGTCAATCAGACCATGTGCCCAGATTGGATTTTTGCAGCTCCGGAGGGTAATTAATGAGAATGGGACAATTCCCCTTCCAAGAAGTGGCTGTTTCTTCCAGTTCCAGCCTTCATTTTTCTTTTGTCCCTTCTCCATCTTGTTATGATTTATAATCCTGCCTGTCCCCTGCAGTGGCTTCGGTGTAAGATTTTTACTAAGTAGGTGAATGGCTAGCTTCCAAAAATGACAACCTTTGTCCAGGTCTGGGGCTGAGGCCAGGTCAGATAAGCATGATACCTTTCTCTCTTCTTACCTGCAAGTTAACACATTCTTTCCAGGTGCAGGAGGATGACAGACCCAAGGCATTCAGCTTTAGAAAGTGTTTTTCTCCTCTCACTTTGTTTTTGTTTTCTCACTTGGACTGTTGCATATTGTTTTGAAATTCACCCATGCATTGATGAAAATGGCCAAGGTTTTCCAGAATGCCTGCAGGAGTGTACGTGCTCTCCATGGTGAGGGGTGGGTTAGACCCTTTCAGCTTAATCTTTTCCCAGCAGGTTCTGAACCCAGACATGCATTGTTGTTTCGACAAAAACATGGCAACTGATATTGTTACTCATGCTATGGTTGAAAGAATCCATATTCCGGGAATTATTCTCCTGCTGCACTTACGAGAAGCCATTCCTGGGCTCAAGGCTCTGTGACTGTTTTGAGCCTGATGTTGTTCTGCGTCTGTGCCTGACAGGCTGTGTGATGCAGTAAGAAGCCCTTTGTGCTTGGTTACACCGACTGTACTAGCAGCACTGTTGTAGTTGCTAAATAGCACTAGGACTTTGGGTCTCTAGGTTAATTCTCTGGTTTTGTCCTTGGAGCTGATTTAAGTCCATCGGCTCATTTAGCAATTGTCAGGTTCTTTTGGAAAATATTTCTAGACTCAGCCATTGGAAATAGGTTAATAAAAAGTCCCCAGCCTGTAATCCCAGCACTTTGGGAGGCCGAGACAGGCAGATCACGAGGTCAGGAGATCGAGACCATCCTGGCTGACATGGTGAAACCCCATCTCTACTAAAAATACAAAAAATTAGCCGGGCGTGGTGGCGGGCACCTGTAGTCCCAGCTATTTGGGAGGCTGAGGCAGGAGAATAGCGTGAACCCGGGAAGCGGAGCTTGCAGTGAGCCCAGATCGCGCCACTGCACTCCAGCCTGGGTGACAGAGCGAGACTCCGAAGTCCCCGAACATGGAGTACTAGAGTTCTCTAGAGTACAGAATAACTTAGCATGTGCTTCTCACTTAGCACATTGTGCAGTGTTTATAATGGTTTTAAAGAAGTTGACTAATTGATTTAATCTTGTCTTGTTCTTTGGTTAAATGATAGTTCTGATAGGGATATGATAAGAATGATGATGATGGGATAGCTTGAGAAGCCAGTGGCAGTGTCTCAGCCAGGCTCTACCCTGGGTCCTCTTCACTCTGTCAGCAAAGCCTGACCACTTTCTTTTCCTTTATTCACTTCTCAAATCTCTGCACTTTTCTCCATCCCCATCTCCATCACTCTAGTCCCCATTGCTACCATGCCCTGCCTGAATAATGCATGCACAATTTTTAGCCTAGAGCCTAGCACACAGTGAGTGCTCGATAGGAGTAAATAGGAATTTTTATTGTGAATAATTAAAGTCTGGTACATCTATATGAGATACCCTCTCTTGGTTAAAACCTTTCAGAGACTTTGTATTACCCTTAGGATAAAATTTAAGCTTCTTACCAAGGACTACAGACCTAGCCCCTGCCCAGCTCTCCCCCTCACCAAATGACACTATCCCTTTTGTGATGGCACAGCAGCCGTACTGACTTTTTCATTTCTTGGACCCATCAAGCCCCTCCTCTCCACATGGCTAGCTTCTTCTCATCATTCCTTTTTAGCTTAAATGTCACCTCAGTGAGGCCTTCTTCGACTGCTGTTTCTAAAGTAAGTTCCTTCTTGTTATCCTATGTCACAAACTCCATTGGTTTCTTTCATAGCATTTTCACAACCTGAAATGATGTTTCTTCCTTTCTTTAATTGTTTTCTGGCTGTCTCCCTGTATTAGTCCATTTTCACACTGCTATAAAGCATACTTGAGACTGGACAATTTATAAAGGAAAGAGTCCATTTGTAATTGACTCACAGTTCTTCATGGCCAATGAGGCCTCAGGAAACTTACAATCATGGTGGAAGGCAAAGGGGAAGCAAGGACCTTCTTCACAAGGCGGCAGGAGAGAGAGAGCATTAAGGGGGTATGGCCAAACACTTTTAAACCATCGGATCTCATGAGAATTCACTCACTATCATGAGAATGGCATGGGGGAAACCACCCCCTTTATCCAGTCACTACCCACCAGGGAAGTGACACATGGAGATTACAGTTTGAGATGAGATTTGGGTGGGGACACAGAGCCAAACCATATCACTCCCCAACTAGACCCTAAATTCCTCGAGGGATGGGACCACGTTTGTCTGTTACCACTGTGTGCCAGAAACATGGTTGATGCTAGAAAAATATGTCAATGTTCGTTTAATGAACGAATAGAAAACTAGACACCAGTCACCATAGCCATATAGATAATAATGGTGGTCAGTTAGGCGGATGGCCATCATGGCTCAAACTCTATGTGCTTCACATTCATGATCTCATTTAACCATTTCTACGTATCCATCTGATGAGTAAGTGGACCATTGAAGAGGTCAGCTTGCCCAGCTAGTGAATCCGGACACATAGAAGGTCTGCTGTCACTGGATGCCCTGTGGAACTTAACCCAAACATCCCCCTGACTCAGGACATGGGCAGATGCCTCCCCTTAAGGAAAAAATGAGAAGTAGGAAGGCTTCTGAAATCTGCAGCCACCCCCAGGTCTGGACCGTGCCCAGTAGCATCCACTTCTTCAGAGTTGTGTTGTGTTCTGAGCCGGAGAGGCCAAGGCAAGGTGGGTGGAGGAGGTGGGGGTGACTCAACGACCCCTTCTTCGCTCCCATAATGGCAGTGCCCTCCCTCAGAAGGGACATTGATGTTGAAAGGAAGGGGGCAGAAGGGCAGGCCAACTGGAAGGCAAAGAAAGACTGTGCTTCCCACAGGCAAGCACATTCTAGAACTGTCCCATGTGCTCAAGTTCTGGAAAGAGTGGAAGACGGGAGGGGATTGGCTTTAGGAGGACCTGAGAAAAGTTAGGTGTTGGTGTCTAGTCTGTGAGGAATATTTTAAGTGTCCTCCCCAGACAGGGCACGAGTGCTGGGGAGGAATCTGGATATAGCAGTGAAGGATGAAGAGGGGGTCCTGCCAGCAGGGAGTTGGGCTTGTGCCCTGCTGCTAGCTGTTCTGGGATATCATGGCTGATGTGCTTTCTCATTGGTGCCTAATTCCCTTCCCTGCTCGGATACTACAGTTGCTGTTCCCTGGCAGGAAAAGCAGGCCTCATTCTGTTTCTAGCCCTTGCATTTGTTGGGATTACAATGGCCTTTACTTTGAGTCACAGTCTCTTTTGACTTATGCCATGTTCATAGGATTCTAAGCCCTCCCCCACTACCACCCAAGAAAATCTAATTTAACATGAAAATTACTTTGAGCTACATAATCTGTCTTTGGACTCAGAGTGGATATTCTGATTCCTGCCATAAACAAAAGGGAACCCCTTTAGAAGTTTAGATTCAGGATAATAGCCAACATTTATCAAGCATTTCCTACATGCCAGCCACTGTGCTGACATTTTTCCCAACATGCCTATGATATGCATGCTGTTTATTGGTCTCCATTTTACAGATGGGGCTATGGAGGCACAGAGAGATCACATGAGGGACCTAGGTGGCCATGCCAGGAATTGAACCCAAGCAGAGTAGCTCTTGGACTAGATCTCATCAACTCTGTGCTGTGCTACATGCCTGGCCAGAGATAGCTGTATTCACCCTGGGCTACCAACCTAAGACAAACAGCTCAGCTTCTCAGCCTCTTAAGCCTCTGCTGGCTAGTTTTGTTCTGTTGGTTGGATTTGCAGGGCGCTGGCCGACTCTGCCCAGTGCTTCCGGCACTCACAGACCTGCGTCACAAGCCTGGCTCTCCTGCCAGTGTGACTGCACTGCCATCTCAAGTCATCTCCAAATATGTGCATCTTTTCTCGCCATCCACATTGCAAGATGCTAAGGAACAGGGCCCATGCTTTGTTTGTGTCCAGTTTCCCCAGGGTACCTAGCTTGTTAGTGGGTACTTATAAGTGGTTTAATGCCAGTTAGCCTGGCTGGGGAACACGATAGTCTCTGCTGAAGAGGCAGCCTACTAATAGTAGATAAAAACCTGCTTTTGATTGGTGTGAGCAAGCCCTTATCTGTTTTTAGAATAAACGTGATTTGCTTTGGCAACTGTAAAGCAGATGGAAAGCATCATCTGTAGAATCTAGAAACTGATTTCTGGGAGAGTCTTAGGGGCTTGGCCCTATTATGCATTCTATATTGGCCTCTTTATATCAGGCATCTCTGTGCTGCATAATTCCTAAGGTGACTCTTGGTCCCATTAACCTGTGCAAGGGACGGAACCAAACTAAGCTTTGAGATTGAACCTCGTTTGCTTGGTAGAGCCTTGGGGTCTTATCTGCCAAGCTGTTTGTTTGGCTTTGCTGTGGGCTGCTTTGCACACATGCTTGTTTGGACAAGGCAGCACAGGCTGTCCCATGGTCCAGGGGGTGGTAGCTGGGGCAGCCTTGGAGGGCAGGGTCAATTCTTGCTTCAGAGTGGTGCTTTTTTTCCCATCTTGGCCAGGGAATGCTCATACATTCTTTTCAGCCTGCCTCACTCTTGGCTTACCTTGGGTAAGGAGAGTACAGAGCTAAACTACAGCCAGCTGGAAGTTCCCTGCCCTTCTAGAGCTGAATGCCACTGTGGGGACCATTCATTAGAGAGGATCACGTTGGTTTTTCTTGGATCGGACCTCTTCTTTTGATTATCCTTTTGATGAGGCATGTGTGCTCATTACTTGTCATTGTGCATGCTGACTCCAGCTGTGCTGATGTGCCTTGGTGGCAGGAGAGAAAACTGGAGGCCAATGACAGGCTGAACAACCCTTCACAAGTGGGTGGCCTGCTCCCCATAGTGCCAGTCCCCAGGTAGATTTTTAAGACTGGCAGGTCACCTCCGTTCCTTCTTCCTGTCTCCCAGGAGAGTGTGGAAGGGTCAAGGCCCTGTGGGCAGATGCAGTGACAAATTGTGTGGCTGGTAACTGAAAAAAGAGGGCAAAACCTCAGGTACGAGTGGCCCCTCAGTCTAGGGTGCAGGCACTCCAGCGGAACATGTTGGCAAAGGCTGACTCAGTGGCAGAGCCAAGAGGGTGGGCCATGTGCCTGGGCAAAACTTCATTCCCAGTTCAGATTTCTTTGGGCCTCTCATGTATACAGTACCTGCCACTGAGACCACTTGAAAGACTGAAGATGCTGGGCAAACAGGATCATGCTTATCGTCATAGCAACACACACACTCTGAGGCAGACAGGATCCCCAAGGCCTTCTCAGATGAGCATTTGATAATAGCTTTGCTCAGAGGAGCCCTCTCCACCCCGTCACTACACTTGGTCATTACAACCTTTGTGCTTCAAAGGAGGGCGGGGGAAGTGCTCAGAGCACAGGGCATGCTGAGTTGTGTTAGCCCAGAAGGGAAGGCAAGAGGAGGGAGCAGAAGGCAGGCCTGTTGCCACTGATTTCTGCAGCCCACGCTGGTTCTCCCATCCCAGGGTCGACACCCCTGGAGTAACAGTAACAACGGGGGGAAGGGAGTGGATGTTAAAGACATTTGAAATATTTCATAACTGATACTGCCAACCAGAAGTGATGTTGGCTCTGCTTCCACACTGGTTGAATATCAGTTCTGCTAAAAATACCAGTCAACCTTTGTATTCGTTTGCTAAGGCTGTTTACGCTGGGTGGCCTAAACAAGGAAATTTATCTTCTCATAGTTTTGGAGGCTGGAAGTTCAAGATCAAGGTGCCAGCAGGGTTGGTTTCTCCTAAGGCCTTTCTCGTTGCCTTGTAGGTGGTGTCTTCTCTGTGTCCTCACAGGGTCTTCCCTCTGTTGTGTCTGCGTCATCTCCTCTTCTCCTAAGGACACCAGTCCTAGTGGATTAAGGCCCACTCCAATGACCTCCTCTTAACCTAATTACCTCCATAAAGAACGTGTCTCCAAATATAGTCACATTCTGAGGTACTGGGGGTTTGAGCTTCAATATATGAATTTTAGAGGGACACACTTCAGCTCATAACACTTATAATGTACTAAGTGGCAGTCTAACCCTCATAGCTAATATTGGAGCTCTTGCTAAGGCTGGAATTGCTCTTAGCACTTGCTGTGGATTATTTCCTTTAATCCCTGCAATAGCTCTAAAGTAGCTCTTCTTATTTCCCTCATGTTTCAGTTAAGGAAACAGAGGCACAAAGACGCTGAGTAATTTGACCGCAACAGCTAAAAAGAGGCAGAGCAAGAAGTTGAACCAGGCTGTCCCATTCCAAAGCTCGTGCTCTGGGCTTCCTGCTCTGGTCTCTGAAGTAAAGGCTTTCCTTGGGCTTCTCACTGGAAATGCTGTCAATGAGCGGGTTGTAGAAAGGGATCATCCTAATTCCTTGAAGAGAAGGAAAAGTTAAGGTGCTCCTTCCCGCCTCTGACTGGCTCCTATCACAGACTGGATGGCAGGCCTTCATCAGTGCAGCCACTGTACAGGAAGGAGGCCTTTCTGGTGACACAGTGTTACTGCGTCTGAGGAAACCGGGCTGCAGGGTACAGCTGGATGAAAATGGGCAGCTGAGGGCCAGGCGCGGTGGCTCAAGCCTGTAATTCCAGCATTTTGGGAGGCTGAGGCAGGTGGATCACTTGAGGTCAGGAGATCGAGACCAGCCTGGCTAACATGGTGAAACCCCGACTCTACTAAAAATACAAAAATTAGCCAGGCATGGTGGCATGCACCTGTAATCCCAGCTACTCGGGAGGCTGAGGCAGGAGAATCACTTGAACACAGGAGGTAAAGGTTGCTGTGAGCCGGTATCGCGCCACTGCACTCCAGCCTGGCTGACAGAGTGAGACTCTGTCTCAAAAAAAAGAAAAGAAAATAGACAGCCGATGTCTTTGTGGATCCTCACTTGGTAATGAAGGAGGCAGGCCCTGGAGCCACGGGTTGGATTCAGTCAGGGTTTGGAGCCCTCTGTCTTCACAGCTGGCTTCTCTGTTCTCCTCTGTGTTTCAAGGTGTCCCTTTGCCTGGAGTCTTCCTTCTGTTTTTCACCATTCCTGCTGACAGTCTCATTTGTCCTATAACGCAATGACAGCATACTCAAAGGTCTGCATACATGCTGGCTGTTTGCAGGAGCTGGGCTCCTCCTGGTGAAAGCTCAGGTTTACCATACAATTATGTGAGGCTTCCTTGTTACTTTGAAAGCTTTCCTTCTGCATCCGTGAAATTAAACTCTGTATTGCTGTGTGAGTAATTATGGGGCCCTTCTGTGCTGAGGCAGAGGGTGAGGGGTAAGGTGTTGATTCTCAGCGTTAGTGTAGGGAGTCAGGTCTCTCTCCTCTACCCTCCTTCTTCCTCTTTCTCCTCACTTTTTCTCCTTCCATCCAAATTGGTCAGACCTATATTGGTCTGTCCTGGGATCCCATGACACTGACTCTGAGCTTGCAAATTGTTCTCTACTTTTTTCTGCCAGCATATTGGGTAATTAATGCCCCTTCTTTCCACCTTTCTTCCTCTCTTCCTTTCCTCCTTTCTTTCTTTCTTCCTTTCTTCCTTCCTCTCTCTCTCTCTCTCTCTCTCTCTCTCTCTCTCTCCTTTCTTTCTTTGACAGAGTTTTGCTCTTGTTGCCCAGGCTGGAGTGCAATGATGCTATCTAAGCTCACTGCAACCTCTGCCTCCTGGGTTCAAGCAATTCTTTTGCCTCAACCTCCCGAGTAGCTGCGATTACAGGCATGCACCACCACCCCCAGCTAATTTTGTATTTTTAGTAGAGATGGGGTTTCGTTATGTTGGTTAGTCTGGTCTCAAACACCTGACCTCAGCTGATCCACCCATCTTGGCCTCCCAAACCTTCTTTCCAACTTTCATTGTTGTTGTCAGGATTTACCAAGCATTAGGTAGAGCCTCCTTCCTATAAAGATGAGATAACCCATCCAAACACAGGAGCAAGCCAGCTGCATTGCCAGAGCCAGGGCTCCCAGAACACAAATTCCAGAGTAGCTTGCTATATTTATCTGAAGTTAAGGCATCTTCCCAGAGTGCCAAACAAAACATTTGTGCATCATCTGGGGCTTTATTTCCCTATGTTACCTGCTTTTCTGATGATGTTTACCTCAGTTGGCCTTAGAGGTTTACCCTGCCAATCTAAAAAAAAAAAAAAAAAAAACTAAAAATCCGTATCATTTTAGAAATTCAGTAGCAGATCCTATTTCAATTCAGTTTCTTTCTTTCTTTTTTTTTTTTTTTTTTGAAATGGAGCCCCGCTCTGTCGCCCAGGCTAGAGTGCAGTGGCACGATCTTGGCTCACTGCAACCTCTGCCTCCCGGGTTTACACCATTCTCCTGCCTCAGCCTCCTGGAGTAGCTGGGACTACAGGTGTGTGCCACCATGCCTGGCTAATTTTTTTGTATTTTTAGTAGAGACGGGGTTTCACTGTGTTAGCTAGGATGGTCTCAATCTCCCAACCTCGTGATCTGCCCATCTCGGGCTTCCAAAGTGTTGGGATTACAGGCGTGAGCCACCGTGCCCGGCTGCAATTCAGTTTCTTTCTTATCTGTTAAGTTCAAATAGTGGAATCCTCTTTATTAAATAAACTATGTGTTATACTCCCTTTAAATTATTTCTGCTTGTAAATCTATCCTTCCTACTATCTCTCTGTGCATAAAGACGTAACTAAAATTGCAGTCCCCTAATCTCATGATGGTTACTTGACGGATGGTGGGTTTGGAGGCATTTCATTTTCTTCTTAGGATTTGTCTCTTTTATTTCATTGTTTTTTTCCTTCCTTCCTTCCTTCCTTCCTTCCTCTGTCTCTTTCTCTCTTTCTCTCTCTCTCTTTCTCTCCTTCCTTCCTTTCTTCCTTCCTTCCTTTCTTCCTTCCTTCCTCTCTGTCTCTCTATCTTTCCCTCTCTCTCTCTCTTTCTCTCTTTCTCTCCTTCCTTCCTTCCTCTCTCTCTCTTTCCTTCTTTCTCTTTCTTTCTTTCTTTCTCTCTCTCTCTCTCTTTCCTTTCTTTCTTTCCTCTCTTTCTTTCTTTCTTTCTTTCTTTCTTTCTTTCTTTCTTTCTTTCTTTCTTTCTTTCTTTCCTTTCTGATGGAGTCTCACTCTGTCACCCAGGCTGGAGGGCAATGGCACAATCTCAGCTCACTGCAACCTCCACCTCCCTGGTTCAAGCAATTGTCCTGCCTCAGCCTTGCAAGTACTTGGGATTACAGGCACATGCCACCATACCTGGCTAATTTTGTATTTTTAGTAGAGAGGGGGTTTCACCATGTTAGCCAGGCTGGTATCAAACTCCTGACCTCAAAGTGATCCACCCACCTCCACCTCCCAAAGTGCTGGGATTACAGGCGTGAGCCACCACACTGGCCTGTGTTAATTTTTAGAAAATGAACTGTCATTTTTCTAAAAACAATGGAGTAATTCCAAGATAAGCGACTATAGAAGTGAACAAATCTATCAGCCTGACTATTCTCTTAACAAAGCTGTGTTACCCGGGTGAGCACAGAGTACCTTCGGACATGAAATCGCTAAAGGTAGAGGGGCCCGGGCATCAGGTGATCTCCTGTTCATTAACTCTTCTGTTTGCTCCTGGCTGGATTTTATTTTGACTCACTGGCCTACTTTCCTCAGGTCCTGAGTTGTTCACCTGAGCTCCTCATTATCTTTTCTCCCTGCCAGGTCACATGGGGAGGTCCTTGCAGGCAGACATTTTTGCTAGAAAAGCAGCCATCAGTAGAAAAGCTATTCTCGCTTCACAATTAATGCTGTTTTTTAAGCAAAATGTGCCCCTCCTCAAAGTTCCACTGGAAACCATAAGGAGGAACAAGGGGAAGCTTCTACCTCACTGCCCAAGATAAGGAGCTTGCTATATTGTGCGGAAAATTGAGTTAGGCAAAGCGAGGCAATTGGAACTAGGTCCTGCTCTAAGAAGGAAAGGAAATTAACCTTTGCCTGCCATAGTCTGGCCCAAGGCCACATTCAATTGTGTTCTGATCAGGCAGAGGCTATTGCCTGAGCTGGAGAGAGAAGGTGTCACTTCATAAAGACTCTATGTGGAGGATAGATGCTACCGTGGCCGGGCTCTCAGCCACGTTCTTCTGCAGTATGCAGTAGGGAAGGGCACATTTCTCACATGCCTTCACCAGATTATAGTTTTCTGGGAGCAAAGCCAAGTGCTCCCACCTTTGGGTGCTGACCCAAGAAGAGATATTCTGTGAACTTCTGCTCTTTGGTTGGGCAATCTCCGAGAGTCAGTTGGTTGGGTGAGTACAGGGAGGAGGGTGGTTGAGATGGAGTCACCCTATTTATTTCATCACCGTCTACATTAAACAAAGGGTTTGTGTTTGCAATTCTCTTCTGATGAAATCCAGTGGCTCAAGAAAAGCCATCTGACTGAGGCCTATTGTAATAGCTGATCCTCTGAGCCCCATTTGATCTTAACTTTACTCCAAGTTTGCTACATAGAAACTCAGAACTGGGCAGAAGATGACATTTGCACAAAACCCCATTCCCGCTTTTGATTCAAAGATAAGCCCTTTGAACTTGGCCATCTCAGGCAATTTTCTCGGCCATTGTAACAGGGTGTTTTGAAGACACTCCCTAGAGACATAACAAAGGGCTCTATTTTAATGTCATCCTTTATTCCAACTGTCTGGGCCATTCTGGTCAAGGAGTGCTGCTCTGTGCCAGCCTGGGAGTAGGCAGCATACAGAAGAAAATGGGGACAAAGAAAGGCAAGGAGGAAGATGTAGTCTTTGAGGCCCGGGAGCTGGTAGGGGTGTAAGATTCTTCATCAATAAGAAAAGTAGGAAGAGCTGAGGCTGACTTTTCAATGTGAAAGCCAAATGGTGGGGTCATCTATTTTAAGGGTATCCTCCTTTCTTCTCTTCAGCAAATAGATCCCAAGCATACAATTTCAGCTGCAGTAACCCAGATCCAAAATAAAAAGTTCTTCCTCCCATAGCAGTCGCTCTGTAAGCAGTCTGGCAGCTCTATAGTGTTTGGGATCCAGGATCCTCTGTCTTGGCGCCACCATCCCTAGAGTATTGTCTTTGCCTTCATGGCCCAATATAGCCTTATGCTTGTCACACAGGAAAAGGGAAATGGAGGGTGCACCATGGAAAGTTTACACAGCTCTTCCATTCACATCCCATTGGCCAGAACTTAGTCACATGGCCACACTTAATGGCAAGGGAGACTGGGAAATGGAGTTTTTTATTCTTGGCAACCATGGGTCCAGCTGAAATGAGTGGTTCTGCTGCTGGAGAAGGAGAGAACTGACAAGGGCAGAGGAAGGACAGCCAGAGGTCTTTATATTTGCTATCACACTGTGTACAAAATGCCAACATGGGGATAAACACAGGCAGCCAACCAGAACAGGACTGTCAAAGAAGGCCTCCCAATCACCTACTGTCAGACACTTTAAAGGCCCAATGGATGAGAGTCCACTTTCTTAAACCCCAGTTTCAGCTGGACCTTTATTTCCCCTTCTTTGTCAGGGAAATTGAATTTAGAAGTTGAGGTTTGATGAGCTACTCTAGATCTTTGCACTTAGCATCAAGTAAGGAGATGGAAAATATTCCTGGAAGCATGAATTTAAAGCAAATAGAATTCTTCTCTTCTCACTCTCGATTGTGCTCTCGCTCTCTTCTTTCTGCCCTCCCCTCCCGTCTGTTTAGGATTAAGGAGTTGTACAGTCCTAACGTGAATACAGGCGCCCTTTCTGAAGCCGTGTTACCTTGTATTTGTAGAGCGCTTGCAGGCTTTGCACAAGCTGTCCTTCAGAGGGTTTCAGGGCAGGGGCCAGGGGAGGAGGGGTGCTACAGAAAGCTCTTATGTAATGTGGTAAACAAACAGCAAACGGCGTTTCATTTTCCATTAGCCAGAGAGGCATTTTATTTCCACTAGAAATGGGAGCAGACGTGAAAGCAATTAGTGTTAGTGGGTTTATAGTGACGTCCCTGGAGCCAGCAAAATCCTGGGGCCAGATGTCTGTACTTTACTGGTTCCTTGTTCCGAGAACATTTGTGGGTTCTTTCCACCCCTGCCCATCTCCACCTCCTGCCAAAAGGACCCAAAATATAACAGTTGGGAGAACATAATATTCCCTGAATAGCAGAGGCGGGAGGCCTGTTCTTTAGAGATAGAGGATGCTGCCTCAGAAGTTGGGGTGGGGAGGCCAAGAGTGAAAGGAAGATCCTTGCCAATGTCCCCAGGCTCCTCCTGGCCCTGGAACCCTTCAAGCCACTGATGAGTTGAGGCTGGGGCTTGCGAGTATCTCTCAGGAGTGGCAATGTCTCAATCCCGTCTTTTATGCTTCTTTGTTCACTTTATCTTCAACTCTGCCCTATCCCACCCACAATACACATATAGTGGGAAAGACAGAAGGAGAAACAGCAGCAAAAATAGAAGCTGTGAATGTCCTCCCCTCCTCCTGTATGCTGGAATAATATGATCTAAGTTTCATTCCATCTCAAACTTTACTATAGCCACGGTCACCAGCAAGACCACCAAAACCCTGGAATCTGCCACTTACATATTTTCTAATGTAGAGGTTCTTTTCCTATGTAACCTCACATCTTCTTTCAAGGCCTCATATTGGATGATTTATAACTGGTCATCTCAATCTGTGCTGTCCCATTCAGAGTCACTAGCCACTTGCTAGCTATCAGCACTTGAGCCAGTCCAAATTAAGATGTGCTGTAAATATAAAACATACACTGGGTTTCAAATACTTCGTTTGAAAGAGAAATGTTTATACTGATTACATGTTAATAAAATTTTGGATATATTGTGTTAAGGAAAATATATTATTAAAATTAATTCCACCTGTTTTTTCCCCTTAATTAACGTAGCTATTAGAAAATGTAGAACTATGCAAGTGGCTTGCATTTGCAGCTTGTATTTTTCTCCTATTGGGAAAGTACTGGTCTATGTTATCTTTTAAAATACTGTAGCACTTTTTTTAAGTTATTGAAAATATTTAAATGAACTTTTAAAAACCTTCTAAAGCTTGAGAAGACTTCAAAAGAAAAGAAGAGGCTCTGCAAACCTTTATAAGAGGAAAGTTGGATAGCCAACAAAGAGATTTCCTAGCATTTGAGATAGAGTCTAGAAACTTAATCACCTTCAGGGACCAGGTACTGATGTAAGGTGAGATGGGGTTGAGGATAGACAACAGAGAATGGTGGGGCTTGTGGTGCACTGGGGAGAGAGGTGCCCTACATAGAGACATTTAAATTAAAAAATTTTTAAACATTGGGTGCCTCATAAAGCAATGGTGAAATTTGACCCAAAGGTGGAATTTGGCACAGAGGACTCTAGCATGTTATTCTTGGAACCTTTAAAAACAAACTATTTTACATGGCCGATCCCATGAAAATTACTCATGCAGACAACTCCAACCAGGTTTTGTAAATGAGAATTTCCTCTTTACATCTTGAAATGACATTACTTTAAATTTTGCACCCAAGTGTGCATGCAGCCTCCACTGTGTAGTTCACATGTTCTTTTGCTAAGAACGTGGCTAACAGTTAGCTCATACCGAGTTCCTGTTCTGGGAGATGCTGGGATAGTGTTGCCTCATTTAGTTCTTGTAACACCCTTTTGAGGCTGGTGGTATCTTCATTTTTATTGAGGCTGAAGGAAATTAAGCCACCCCCTTGGCTGTAGCAAAAAAGCAGCAGAACTGAGGTTCAGGCTCACGTGTTTCACATACTACAGTTCTAATCCAAAGGATTTATAAAACTTCATCATACACATTGTCTCATTTGATCCTTAAAAGAAGTTCATGAAAGGCAGGAAGCTTAGGCAAGTTCCTCGGTCTTCCTGGCTGGCTGCAGTTTCCCTCAGTTCTAAGAAGGGGCTGGACTAAATGACTACTTGATGAGTCCATGGCTTTGTGACTTCCTGGTGCAAGAAAAGGCTGAGCCTGGATCAGACTTGGACCCTTGGGATCCCTTAAATGGTTCCCCATCTCAGAATATTTTGCACAGTCTTTTCCAGTAATTTTCTATGTGCATTAAAATGATAGTCAATATTTTAGACATCACAGAAATGTATTCCAAGTTTCATTTAAAATTAGGCTGATTTCAAACTATCGTTGTTTACTTTTTAACTTTTAAAAATATATAAACATTCAAACATTTTGCTATTCATATTTCATCTATAACTTCCCACTTTTTTCCTGCCAAAAATGCCATGTATTCACAGAGTTGTACAACCATCTCCATAATCAATTTTAGAACATTTCATCACCCCAGAAATAAACCATATATCCATTAGTAATCACTCTTCCAACATCCTTCCACTGCAACCTTAGGCAACCACTATTTTTTCTGTTTCTATAGATTTGCCTTTTCTGGAGATTTTATATAAATGAAACCATAAAATAAGTGGTCTCTTCTGAGACTTCTTTCACATGTCATAATATTTTCAAGGTTCATCCATGTTGCAGCATATATCAGCACTTCATTCCTTTTATGGCTGAATATATTTCATCATATGGCTATACAGTCTTGTAACAAATAACAATGTTTCAGTTAATGATGGACCACATATATAATGGTGGTCTCATAGTATTATAATTTTTACTGTACATTTTTACAGATACACAAGTACTTACCCCTGTGTTACAATTGCCTACAGTATTTAGTGCAATAACATGCTATACAGCTTTGTAGCCTAGGAGCAATAGGTTGTACCATATAGCCTAGGTGTATGGTAAGCACATAAAAACCTATCATCAGGCTGGGCACGGTGGCTCACGCCTGTAATCCTAGCACTTTGGGAGGCCGAGGCAGGCGGATCACCTGAGGTCAGGAGTTTGAGACCAGCCTGGCCAACATGGCAAAACCCCGTCTCTACTAAAAATACAAAAATTAGCCGGGCATGGTGGTGCATGCCTGTAATCCCAGCTACTCAGGAGGCTGAGGCGGGAGAATCACTTGAACCCAGGAGGTAGAGGTTGCAGTGAGCTGAGTTCGCACCACTGTACTCCAGCCTGGGCGACAGAGCGAGACTCCGTCTCAAAAAAACAAAAAATACCAAAAAAAAAAAAAAAACCACACACACACACACACAACAAAACAAAAAAACCCTACCATTTAGGTTTGTGTAAGTACACTGTATAATGTTTGCACAGCAAAATCGCCTAATGATGCATTTCTCAGAACATATTCCCATGAGAAAATGATGCATGACTGTACCACCTTTTGTTTATTCATTCATCGGTTGATGGACATTTGGATTGTTTCCACCTTTTGGCTATGGTGAACAGTGCTACTATGAATATTTATGTACAAGTATTTGTTTGAGTACCTTTCTTCATTTCTTTTGGCTATATACCTAGGATTGGAATTGCTGGGTCATATGGTCACTCTATGATTAACTTTTTGAGGAGTTGCCAGGATGCTTTTCAAAGTGGCTACACCATTGTACATTCTTACGAGCAATGTTTGAGGGTTCCAATTATTCTACAACCATGCCAACACTTGTTATTTTCTGTCTTTTTTATTATAGTCATCCTAATGGGCATAAAGTAGCATCTTATTGTGGTTTAGATTTGCATTTCCCTAAAGACTGATGATGTTGAGCATCTTTTCATGTGTTTATTGGCCATTTATATGCCCTCTTTGGAGAAATGTCCATTTAGATCCTTTCTCATTTTTTATTTGAGTTGTCTTCTTCTTACTGAATTGTTAAGTTATTTACATGTTATAGATACCCTTTTTCTTCTCACATCTGTGACTGGCAAATATATTCTACCATTCAGTCGGTGGTTTTATATCTTGATGATGTCCTTTAAAGTACAGTTTTTTGTTTCGATGAAGTTCAAGTTATATATGTTATATATAGTCACTTGTCTTTTGGTATTATATCTAGAGAAGGCTTTGCCTAAACCCGAGATGTCAAAGTTTTACTCCTGTGTTTCCTTTGGAGAGTTTTATAGTTTTAGCTTTTACATTTAGGCTTTGATCCATATTGAGTAAATTTTTGCATGTGACATGAGATAGGCCTCCAACTTCATTTTTGTGCATGTGGATAGCCAGTTGTTCTAGCACCACTTGTTAAAAAGACGATTCTTTTCCCATTGAATTTTTTGGCACTTTTGTTGAAACTCTGTTGATCGTAAGATAAAATTTATTTCTGAACTCTTAATTAATTCTTCTCATTGATCTATTTGTTCATCCTTATGCCAGTAGTACACCATCATGATTACTGTAGCTTTGAGGTAAGTTTTGAAATCATGAAGTGCTAAAGTAGTTTTCCTACTACTTTTAAAGAGGATATTCTTTCAAGATAACATTTGCTATTCTGGGATCCTAGCATTTTCATGTGAATTGTAGGACCAGCTTGTGAATTTCTACATAGAAAGCAACTGGAATTTTGATAGCAATTGTTTTGACTCTGTAGATCAATTTGGATAATATTACTGTCTTATCAATATTAGGTTTTCTGATCCATGGACGCAGGATGTCATTCCAGTGATTAAGATCTTCTTTGATTTTTTTCAAATAGATTTTTTAATTTTCATAGTACATATTTTGTACTTCTTAAATGTATTTCTAAGTATTCTGTTTGATACTGTTGTAAATGGACTTGTTTTCTTAATTCATATTCAGATTGTTCATTTTTCTGCAACATTTTAAATTAAATAGTGCCCCATTATCCATAAATACTTGTATGACATTCCATTTGTAAATACCATAGCTAGCATCTCTAACTAATAAGGACTGGTTCCTTCCCTTTCCCTTTTTCCCTTTCCCTTCCCTTCCACTACTGGACCCATGACAATGAACAAGGATTCCCTGCTCTCATCTGCTACACGGCTCAGATTCAGATATCCTGGATTATCTATAAAATGTCGTCTCATGGTTGGCCTTTTGGAATAGGGATCCAAACAGGCCCACGCCTTATGCCTGGCAATTAGACCTTTCAAGTCTCCTCCGTTTTCTAAGAGTCCCTCTTTTTTCCTTTTTGTGCTTTAAGGGTTTAAATTCATATTATTCCAGTGCAATAAGTCTGTCACCTCACACAGGCTAACATCTATAGTCAGACATCCTCCTTAAATGGGTCTCGGCTCTCTCGCACCTCACTTTATAGAAAGGAATTTGAAACATAGACTTATGGTCTTCACAAGTATGTGATGCTGTTGTTGGCTCTCCAGGCACCTGTTGAGGGGAAGTAATCCTTGCTGAGGATATTGACAGAACATCATTGTTTCCTGTCCCCACCCCCTGTACTTGAGAGTCAATGACTAATAGTGATAAAGAATGGTGGAGAGGACTCTCGTGCCTCTTTCTTTAATAGGTGAAGAACCAGTCTCCCTTGTCCCACAGAACAGTTTGTCATTCAGGGCCTCCTGTGTTCCCTCACCATCTTTACTCTCTAGTCACCAGATATGGTGTTGTCTCTGGTCTCCCAAGACTCTTCCCTCTTGCTTTGAAATGTTCATCTGCATGTAAGACATGAGTCTGACTAGGGTCCAAGCAGAGCTTAAAAGTGGAAAAAGATTCTCCCACTTTTATGTATTTTTCCATCAGCAGCACTTCATTCTGACGAAATGTGTGCTCTTTTGATCACTATCTGCTTCGAATTACTCCTAAATTAAATTGTTCAAAAAGGATAAACTCGAAACGGAGGTTCTACCTGGTCTTGTATCAGCATTTTCCTGATCCCTGCTAAGAAAGTGAGCCTCATAACAGGAGGAATGGGACATCTGAAATATGTTTTTATGGAGTATGGCCAGGCACTAACCCATCAGCACAGAGGTGCCTAGGAGCTGGAGTGGGATCTTGGTGGCTTCCGCAGTGGTAACCACCAACTCTTCAAGTTGCTGAGCTTTGGAGAGATGGGGAGGATTCCTGGATAATAGAGAGATATTCAGGCATTTCAGGGCAGTGGCTATTTACTAACTGATAAATAGATATTTTAACATTTATCCCACCCCCAATGTGACTGCCATTGTGTGCTGGCTGAATCCCTGCCCGGTCCTGCATGTCTTAGTGTATTGGCCTGCACTATGTCTATTTTAGAGCTTTTGCCATCCAGGAAGTCTTTATTTTCTCTTCAATATATCAGGAGGCCAGAGGCCTCTTAAAAAAAAAAAATCAGAATCCCCACAGTTGTATAGATTAAAACAGCTTCTCAGTAACTGTGTGACCACGTGGAGGATCTTAGGAGAAAGAAATGATGTATTGGCTTCCCCAAAAGGGAGCACCCCTCAGAGACATCAGATCACCCTTCTCCTTCTCCCTGCTACTTTTGTTGAGGTAATTTACATGCAATAAAATGTACCTATTTTAAATGTATAGCTTTGTGAGTTTTGGTAAATGTATATACCTGTGCAATGCCACTGCAATTTCAAGATATGGAAATTTCCAATCATTCCGGATAGTTGCCTTAGTTGACTTTTTGGTGCATTCTCTACCCTCCCAGCCTCAGCCCCTGTCCCAGCCCCAGTAACCACTGCTGTGCTTTCTGCCCTGATAGCTCACTTTGCCTGTTTTACAATTGCAGATAAATAGAATGTCTGCATCCTTTTGCCTCTGGCTTCTTTTCACTCCGCATACCGGTTTTGAGATTTCTTCATATTGTTGCATGTCTCAGTAGTTCATTTATCTTTACTGCTGAGTAGTATTCTATTTTATGAAGGTATCACAATTTATTTATCTATTCAGCTGCTGTTGGATGTTGAGTCATTGCCAGTTTTTGGCAATTATAAATACAACTGCAACAAACATTCACATTTGGTTCTTTTGTGTAGATATATGTTTTCATTTCTCTTTGGTAAATTTCTAGGAGTGGAATTGCTGGGCTTTAGAGTAAGCCTTTGTTTTACTTTATTAAAAATCTGTCTTGCTGGGTGCCGTGGCTTGCACCTGTAATTCCAGAACTTTGGGAGGCCGAGGCGGGCCAATCACTTGAGTCCAGGAGTTCGAGACCAGTCTGGGAAACATGGAAAAACTGTCCCTACATGCCACCCCTCCCTCCCCCACCACCAAAATTAATCCAGGCTTGGTGGTATGCTCCTGGAAGCTGAGGTGAGAGAATCACCTGAGTCCGCGAGGTTAAGGCTGAAGTGAGCTTTGATTGCGCCACTGCACTCCAGCCTGGGTAACATAGTGAGACCCTGTCTCAGAACAAAACAAAACAACAAAATCTGTTTTCCAAAGTAGTAAAGTGCTTGTCTAGCTCCTGCCTTTTAAATGCCCAGTGTTACTGTAACTGGCTCATGATTTGTGCTAGAAAAAATAACAACGAGTCAAATCAACTGGTGTCTGTGGCGTCCTTGTCAATAGAGAGCTTTCAAAAGCAGCTGAGCCCCTGGATGTCCCTCCCTACCTCCTGTTCTGGGATGCTGCCCCGTGGTGGCCATTGACTGGTCTGAGCCCTGACCTGAGGGAAAGTGGAGTCGCCATTTATTGAGAAGCCCGGGAGGCTGAGCAGGCGGCAGTGAGGTGCTGATGGCTCAACAGAGCCTCTTTCTGCCTGCAGGCAGCTGGGATCCTAAATTACCTCCTTTCTGAGTCCAGGAAAGCCCATTAATCAAAACTAAACACCCGATGTGAGCTCCTTGGACGCTGCATTTGTGCACTGGGGTGCACATTCTGGGTTAAATATACAAAATAGGTGTTTAAGGACAGAGGAGCAACTTTTTTTGAAACAATTTTTTATTCAGGTAAATTTACATACTGTGAAATAAGCAGATAGTAAGTGTATACTTTAATGAGCTTTGCTAAATGCGTACACTCAAATCACCACCAATCAAGATTTGGAACATTTCAAAAGGATAAACTCGAAACGGAGGTTCTACCTGGTCTTGTATCAGCATTTTCCTGATCCCTGCTAAGGAAGTGAGCCTCGTAACAGATCCAAGTTAGGTGTCTGTGAATGCTGTTAACAGTAATAACTGACTAATGTGCAAGGTATGTACATACCTGATCTCATTTAATCCTCAGAACAGCCCTATGAGGTAATAGTTCTCATTTCCATTTTGAAGATGAGGAAGCCGAGGCTCAGAGCAGTAACTGACATTGTACATAACATAATATACGGTATAGTACAGTAACTGACATGAAACAGCTCGTGCTGGCAGCCCCTGGAGTCAAACCCAGCGGCAGAGGCTCCAGGTTTGCACTTTCCCCTATACACAGCTTCTCAGACTTCCTTCTGCAATAGCAGTTAAGGACAGGGCAAAGAAGATGCATACTTTGGAAGATAGAGGGAGTATCTGGGGATGTGGCCCATAGTCGGAAAAGTCTTCTTTTAAAAATTAATGCAAAATTTGTTTTCAGTTCCAAATGTGACAGTGTTTATTTTCATATAAAATATGTTTCATTTGCAAAGGTTTGCCCCTGCCCCCATTCAAATTGTTAGTAATAGAATGTGCCGGGATAATGCCACGTGGGCTGTGTGTTATTCCGGGTATGCCCACTGCAAGACATCACCATCTTCTGCTCATTCCTAAGACTGAATTGGTACTTGGCCAAATATTTGTCCTGTTCCCCACCCTGCTCTCCTGTTTTGCATTGGCTTCTAAAGTGGAAGCAGGTGGAGGCAAATATCTGCCCTCCCAGGTGGTATCAGTGCCTTCTGTTCTCCCCAGTGGGCCGGCCCCTGGGTTTTATGATACAAGGCTGGGCCTCCACCCTTCCAGGTTATGGCAGAGGCTGCCCCAGAGATGCCAGAGGGCCTGGAGGTGAAAGAGGAAGTGAAAAGTGAAGATGCAGATCACTTTCTCACGGCAGGCCCGAGTCCTCAGATGGAGAGACAAGGGGCCTGAGCTGGACACCACTTTTCATTTCGAGGGTGGCTTCACATTTGGATCTTTTGTGTAGATATTTGTTTTCATTTCTCTTTGGTAAATTTCTAGGAGTGGAATTGCCGGGCTTTAGAGTAAGGCTTTGTTTTACTTTATTAAGAATCTGTCTTGCTGGGCGCCATGGCTTGCACCTGTAATCCCAGCACTTTGGGAGGCCGAGGCGGGCCAATCACTTGAGTCCAGGAGTTCGAGACCACTGTGGGCACCCACAATGGGTCTGCTCCTGCTCCCTAAGCAAAGGTTCTGGGTGCTCTTGTCCCTTCTCTGAGCACTGTTTCCAACATCTGGCCTCTCTGTGGCTCTGAAGGTGTCGGTCACTGCACACCTGTGATCACCACCACTCAGGAAGCCCTACCTTCCTCCTGGGAGGTAAATATCCCTTCCTCTGACTTGAAACATCCCCAGGTATATGAGTTTCCCTTGCTGTTGTAATAAATTGTCACAAATTTAGTGGCTTAAAACAATACAGATTATTCTCTTCACAGTTGTAGAGGTAGAAAGTCTAAATTCAGTGTGCTGGCAGGGCCGTGTTCCTGCTGGAAGCTTCTGGAAAGAATCCATACCCTTGCCTTTTCCAGCTTCTAGAAGCTGCCTGTATACCTTGGCTCATGACCCCTTTCTCAAGTCCCTCCAACCTCTTGCTTCCAGGACACAGCTCCTATGACCCATTCTGATCTCCTGCTTCCTTCTTGTAAGAGTGGTGCTTACCTCCCACCCACCTGGCTAATCCAGGATAATCCTCCCAGTTCATGATCCTTAACTTCATCCCACCTACAAAGTCTCTTTTGCCATTCTATAAGAAAACATTCACAGGCTCTGGGGATCGGGATGTCGACATTCAGTCTGCCACACAGGAGGACTCAGAATCCTTGGCACCAACTCCTAGGAAAAGGCCACCTGCCCTGTAGGTGATGATGCTATGGGCACAGCTCTCTGTAACTCAGTGTGGCGCTTACTTTGAGAGGTGCACTGGAAAGCACATGGCCCCTCAGAGCCAAGTTCAAATCCTGACCCAATTGTTAGCTCTGTTAACCTGGCACAGATTAAATATGCTATTTCAGAGCCTCCATTTTCTGATCCATAAGAGGGAGGTAGAGATCTGCAGGGAAGATTGAAGATAAAGCATCTAGTACTGTCGCTGGCAAACAGTAGGTGCTCAACAAATGATGGCTATAATTCTTTGGAGGATTTCTAGTGAGCTACGTAGAAGCAGAAGTGACACTGTTCCTCAGCTTAGTTCACATGGGTGATTACATGGTTACTAAAAACAAACAAATGAAACATGTAAATGCGTTCCCCAGGCCTCCAAATTCTAAAACCCGGAGCTACAAGTTTGGAAAGGGCAGATGATAGTGACATACAATGATGACATTCCTGCATCCCCTTCCGCCTGCCCTCTGCTCATCCCAGGCTCAGATCCCCCACGGAGTAAACAAAGCACAGCTAGACTAGAATTGCCTCAGTGCCCTGGACTGGGGCTACCACGGCCTGAGTGGGACCCTCAGGGTCAGGTCCTCAGCTTCTGTGCTCATGGCTGGGAACTAACTGGTGCACGGTGGAGTGGCCGTAGCGTTGATGCCAAGGAAGTTTCTTCAGTGGGAACAAAGACCAGGGAACTCATAAAGCCTCTGGGCTCTTTATCTCAAGTGGAAAAGGGCTAACATTTCTGACTGAGTACTGGCAGCCAGTTGCTTTACATAAGTTATCTTTATTTGATCCATCAGGATATTGCTGTCTACATTTTACTGATGAGGAAGCTGGAGCCCCGAGAGCTTAACTCCCTTATCTGAGCTCACACAGCTAGGAAGGGGCTGGCATCTGTCCAACCTCTAAGCCAACCAGCCCATGACACAGCAGTATCTGAATTTCTGGCTAATTCATGAATCTCTATTGTATTGCAAGAAAGGAAAAACAAGATCCCCTTATCAGAGGCAAGGGAATGATATATGAGTTTTATCGGGTGGTTTATAGGCTCTTTATCATGGATCCAGTGCCTCTTGGGAGATGGCCATGCCAAGGCCATGGCTGTCATGCTGATGGATGTGCCATTCCTTGTTTAATCCAGCCTGTCCCTCCCTCCTGAAACCTTAGCCCCCATTTCCCATCTAAGGGACATTGTGAGGGCAATTTTTTCATTTTTAAATACAAATTTTAATTTTATCTATGTATTTTTGAACTGGCAATGTAGTCACCTTGTTCAAAATTAAAAGAAGCCTGGGCAACATAGCAAAGCCACTGTCTCTACGAGAAAAAAGAAAGAAACCTAGCCAGGCACAGTGGCTCACACCTGTAATCCCAATACTTTGAGAGGCTAAAGTCGGGGGATTCCTTGAGGCCAAGAGTTCAAGACCAGCCAGGGAAACACAGTGAGACCCTATCTCTACAAAATTTTTTAAAAATTAGCCAGGTATGAAAGGCCGGGCATGGTGGCTCACGCCTGTAATCCCAGCACTTTGGGAGGCCCAGGCTGGTGGATCAGTTGAGGTCAGGAGTTCAAGACCAGCCTGGCCAATATGGTGAAACGCCATCTCTACTAAAAATACAAAAATTAGCCGGGCATGGTGGCACGTGCCTGTAATCCCAGCTACTTGGGAAGCTGAGACAGGAGAATCACTTGAACCCAGGAGGTGGAGGTTGCAGTGAGCTGAGATCATGCCACTGCACTCCACCCTGAGCAACAGAGCGAGACTGTCTCAAAAAAAAAAATTAGCCAAGTATGGTAGCATGCACCTGTAGTCCCAGTTACTTGGGAGGCTGAGGCAGAAGGATTGCTTGGGCCCAGGAGTTTGAGGCTGCAGTGAGCTATGATCACCTCACTGCACTCCAGCCTGGGCAAAAGAGCAAGACCTCGTCTCAAAAAAAAAAAAAAAAAAAAAAAAAATTCAAAGGGTACAAAAGCAGATATGCTGAAAAGCTCCTTCCATCCTTCCCCCCGCCAGACACCCGTTCTCCTGCCCAGAGACGACCAAAGTTATCAGTGTTCCTTCCGAGAGATATTCTACATAAATTCAAGCAAATATATATTTATTCTTTTTTCTGTACAGATGATAGTATACCATGCACATTCTTCTGCATCTTGCCTGTTTTTGTCTAACTTGTCATATAATACATGAAGAACTTTCTCATTTTTTCATCTGAAGTACAAATTTTATATAAAATTATGAAAAAGATAATGTGTGACTAACAACAAGGTACATCTTTTTAAATGAGTCTATTTATCAGTTAGCTAGCTTGCACAATAACTGTACATTATTTAAGACATTGGCCAAGGAGCCAGGCACAGTGGCTCACGCCTGTAATCCCAGCACTTTGGGAGGCCGAGGTGGGTGGATCACAAGGTCAGGAGATCGAGACCATCCTGACTAACATGGTGAAACCCGTCTCTACTAAAAATACAAAAAATTAGCCGGGCGTGGTGGTGGGCGCCTGTAGTCCCACCTCCTCGGGAGGCTGAGGCAGGAGAGTGGCCGAACCCGGGAGGCGGAGCTTGCAGTGAGCCGAGATCGCACCACTGTACTCCAGCCTGGGCGGCAGAGCGAAACTCCGTCTCAAAAAAAAAAAAAAAAAGAAAAGAAAAAAGAAATTGGCCAAGGAAAATAATGTACTATTTTGTAGAGTCCATATCAACTGAATAGGTAACAACTCCCTCTCTGAAAAAACAGTTGTTTGTAATCAATGATTTTTTTAAAAATTAAAAACTCAAGCACTGGTTGGCACTATTGAAAAGAAATAGTTCAGCAAGTTTTGTTATCACCAGACTTGAGAAATGAGAGGAGGAGACTCTGTTTTCAGGAACCCCTGTTATGGTACCGTGATGGAGAGCTCTACAGGAGCTGCGCTGTTGCTGTGTCTGCAGGGTCTCTCTGGACTGGCCGGTGGTCCTTTCTACAAGGATGGCAAGCAGGGGAAGGGGCATGACTATAAAGGCTTCTGTCCCATCTTCTTACTTCTTTCCTTTTTTTTTTTTTTTTTTTTTTTTGGTGGTTGTTTTTGAGATGGGGTCTCGCTCTGTTC